>NT_187391.1:58328-116053 GCF_000001405.40 Homo sapiens
TGGAGTGGAATAGAGTGGAGGGAGTGGAGTGAGTGAAATGGAATGGAATGGAATGGAATGGAATAGAATGGAATGGAGTGGAATGAAATGCAATGGAATGGAAAGGAAAGAAGTGGAGTGGAGTGGAATGGAGAGGAATAGAGTGGAGTTTAGTGGAGTGGAGTGGAATTGAATGCAGTGGAGTGGAATGGAATGGAATGGAAGGAGAGGAGTGAAGTGGAGTGGAGTGGAATGGCATTCAATGGAATAGAATCGAATAGAATGGAATGGAGAGGAGTGGAGTGGAGTGGAATGCAATGGAGTGGAATGTAGTGGAGTGGAGTGTATTGGAATGGAATATAGTGGAATGGATTGGAAAGGAGTGGAATGGAATGGAATGGAATGGAATGAAATGGAATGGAATGGATTGGAATGGAGTGGAGTGGAGTGGAATGGAATTGAGTGGAGTGGAAGATAACGGAATTCAATGGAATGGAATGCTTTGATGTGGAGTGGAGTCGGGTCGAGAGCAAAGGAATGGAAATGAGTGGAGTGGAAGGAAATGGAATTTAATGGAATGGAATGGAGTAGAGTGGAAAGGAATGGAATAGAATGGAGTGGAGTGGAGTGGAGTGGAGTGGAATGGAACTGAGTGGATTTGAAAGGAATATAATGGAATGGAATGCAATGGAATGGAATGGAGTGAGGTGGAGAGGAGCTGAAGGGGGTCGAGTGGAATGGAATTGAAGAGAATGGAATGCTATGGAGTGGAGAGGAGTGGAAAGGAATGCAATGGAATAGAATAGAATGGAATGGATTCGAATGGAATGGAGTGAAATGGAATGGCATGGAATGGAGTAGAATTGAAAGAAGTGGAATGGAATGGAGTGGAATGCAGTGGAGTGGCTTGAAATACAATGGAGTGGAACGGAGTGAAGTGGAATGGAATGGAATGGAATGGATTGTAGTGGAATGCAATGGAATGGAATGCTATGGAGTGGAATGGAATGGAATAGAATGAAATGGAATGGAATGGAAAGGAATGAAATTCAACTGAGTGGAGTGGAATGTATTGGAGTGGAGTGGAATGAAGTGGATTGGAATGTAGTGGAGTAGAATGGAATGCAATGGAATGGAAGGAAATGTAAAGGAATTGAATGGAATGGAATGGAGTTTAAAGGAATGGAATGGAATGGACTGGAGTGGAATTGAATTGAGTGGAATGGAACGGACAGGATTGGATAGGAATTGAGTGGACTGGAGTTGAATAGAGTATAATGGAATGAAGTAGAATTGTATGGAGGGGAATAGCATAGAATGGAGTGGAATGGAATGTGGTGGACTGGAATGGAATGAAATGCATTGGAATGGAGTGTAATGGAGTGGAGTGCAGTGGAGTTGAATGGAATGGAATGAGTGGAGTGGAAAGGAGAGGAGTGGATTGGAGTGGAGTGGAATGGAATGGAATGTAGAAGAGTGGAGTGTAATGGAATAGAGTAGAGAGGAGTGGAGTGGAATGGAATTGAACACAATGGAATGGAGTGGAGTGGAATGGAGTGGAATAAAGTGGAATTGAGTGAAGTGGAATGCAATGCAGTGGAGTGCAATGGATTGAAGTGGAGTGCAACAGAATGGAATGGAATGGATTGGAGTGGAATGGAAGGGAATGGAATGGAATGGAATGGAATGTAGTGGAATTTAATGGAGTGCAGAGGAATGGATTGGAATGGAATGGAATGGAGTGGAAAGGATGGGAGGGGAGGGCGGTGTAATCGAATGGATTGGGGTCAAATGGAGTGGAGTAGAGTTCAATGGAGTGGAGTGGAGTGGAATGGAGTTGAATGGAATGGAGTGGAGTTGTAAGGAGTGGAATGGCATTGAATGGAGTGGAATGGAGTGGAGTGGAATTAAAAGTATTGGAGTGTAATGGAATGGAGTGTACAGGAATGTAATGTAAAGGAATGGAATGGAATGGAATGGAATGGAGTTGGAATGAAATGGAATTGGGTGGAATGGAATGTAAAGGAGTAGAGTGGAGTGGAATGGAAAGGAATAGAGTGGAATGGAGTGGAATGGAGTGGAGTGGAGTGGAAAGGAAGGGAACGAAATGGAATGCAATGAAGAAGGGTGGAGTGGAGTGCAGTGGAAAGGAATGGAATGAAGTGGAATGCAATGAAGAAGGGTGGAGTGAAGTGGAGTGGAGTGGAATGAAATGGAATGGAATGGAATAGAGCGGAGGACAGTGGAATGGAGAGGAATGGAATGGACTGGAATGGAGTGTAAAGTAGTGGAGTGGAGTCAATGGAATAGAATGGAAAGGAATGGAATGGAGTGGAATGGAATGGAATGGAAAGGAGTGGAGTTGAATGAGTGTAGCGGAATGGAGTGGAATGTAAGGGAGTGGAATGTACTGGAGTGGAATGGAATGGAGTGGAGTTGAATGGAGTGCAGTGGAATGGAATGGAATGGAATAGAGAGGAATGGAATGTAGTGGAGTAGAAAAAATGTAGTGGGGTGGAGTGGAATGCAATGGAATGTAATGGAGAGTAATAGAATGGAGTACAGTGGAAAAAATGCAGTTCAGTAGAATGGAATGCAACGGACTGGAATGGAATGGAGTGGAGTGGAGGGGATTGGAGGGTACTCCAGTGGTCTCCAATGGAGTGGAGAGAACGGTATTGAGTGTTTTGGAATGCAGTGGAATGGCAAGCAGTGGAATGGAATGGAATGGAGAGGAATTGAGTGGAATGGAATGCAATGGAATGGAGTGGAATGGAATGGAATGGAATGGAGTGGAATGCAGTGTAATGGCGTGGAGTGGATTGGAATGGAATGTAATGGAGTGGAGTCAAATGGAGAAGAATGGAGTGAATTGGAGTGGAGTGCATTGGAATGGAGTGGAATGGAATGCAAAAGAATGCAATGGAATGCAAGGAATGGATTGGAGCGGAGTGGAATAGAATAGAGTGAAGTGGAATGGAGTGGATTGGAGTGGAATGGAGTGGACTGGAGTGGAGTTAAATGGAAAGGAATGGAATGGAACAGAATGAAATGGAATGGAATGGAGGTGGAATGGAAAGGAATTGGGTGGAATGGAATAGAATGGATTAGAGTGGAGTGGAATGGAATGGAATAGAGTGGAATGGAGTGTAATGGAGTACAGGTGAGTGGAATGGAAAGGAATGGAATGGAGTGGAATGCAATGAAGAAGGGCGGAGTGGAGAGGAGTGGAGTGGATTGAAATGGAATGGAATGGAGTAGAGAGGAGTGGAGGGAAATAGAATGAAATGGAAAGGAATGGAATGTAGTGGAATGGATTGGATTAGAGTGGAGTGATATGGAATGGAGTGGAATGGAGTTGAATTGAGTGGAGTGGAATGGAATGGAGGGGAGAGGAATGTAGTAGAATGAAATGGAATGAAGTGGAATGGATTTTAATGGAGTGGATTGTAATGGGGTGGAATGAATAGGAATGGATTTGAGTGTTGTGGAATGGAATGGAGTGGAATGGAATGGAACAGAGTAGAATGGAGGGGAATGTACTGGAGTCCACAGGAATGGAATGGAGTAGAGTTGAATGGAATGGAATGGAATTGCATGGAGTGGAGTCTTGTGAAGAGGAATGGAACGGAGTGGAGTTGAGTGGAATGGAATGGAGTGGAATGGCGAGCAGTGGAATAGAATGAAGTGCAGTGGTATGTAATGGAGTGGAATGGAATGGAATGGAATGGAATAGAATGAAATGGAATGCAAAGGAGTGGAACGGTATGGAATGGAATGGAATGCAATGTGGTGGAATACAATGGAATGGAATGGAATGGAACGGAATGGCATGGAAGAGAATGGAATGGATTGGAGAGGGCTGGACTGGACTTGAGTGGAATGGAGTGGAATCCAGTGGAAAGGAGTGGTGTGGAATGGAATAGAGAGGAGTGGAATGGAGTGGAATGGAAAGCAGTGGAATTGAATGATGTGAAGCAGAATGTAATGGAGTAGAAAGGAATGGAATTATATGAAGTGTTTCGGAATGTAGAGGAGTGGAATGGAGTGAAGTGGATTGGAATAGAATGGAATGGAATGGAATGGAATGGAATGGAATGGAGTGGAGTGGAACTGAATGTGGTGGAGTGGAATGGAGTGGAATAGAATGGAGTGGAATAGAATGGAATGAAAAGAAATGGAATGAAATGGAGTGGAATTGAGTGGAGTGGAGTGGAATGGAATGGTATGGAAAGGAATGGAATGGAGTGGAATGGAGTGAAATGGATTTGGAGTGGACTGGAGTGGAATGGAATGGATTGAAGTGAAATGAAATGGAGTGGAGTGGAGTGGAGTGGAATGGATTGGAGTGGAGTGCAGTGAAATGGCATGGAATGGAGTGGAATGAAGTGGAGTGGAATGGAACGGAGTGGAGTGGAGTGGAATGGAATGGAATGGAATGGAGTGGAGTGGAATGGAATGGAGTGGAATATAGTGGATGAGAGTGGAGTGAAATGGAATGGAGTGGAGTAGAACGGAATGGAGTGGAATGGAATGGAATAGAATGGAGGGCCGTGATATGGATTGGAGTGGAATTGTGGGGAGTGGAATGGAGTGTAATGGAATGTAATTGAATAGAATAGAATGTAATGCAATGGAGAGGAATGGACTGGAATGGAGTGTAATGGGATGGGATGGAATGGATTAGAATGGAATGCAGAGGAGTGGTTTGGAATGGATTGGAGTGGAATGGAATGGAACAGAGTGAAATGGATAGGAGTGGAGTGGAGTGGAGTGGTAGGGAATGCAGTGCAATGGAATGGAACGGAGTAGAATGGAGTGTAATGTTGCGGAACGGAGTGGACTGTACAGGAATGGAAGGGAGTGGAGTGCAATGGAATGGAATGGTGTGGAATGGAATGGAAAGGAACGGAACGGAAAGGAGTGGAGTCGATTGAAGGGGAGTGGAGTGGAGTGGCATTCAGTGGAATGGAATGGAGTGTAATGGAGAGCAGTGGAATGGAATGAAGTGCAGTGCAATGGAATGGAATGGAGTGCTATGGAGTGGAATGGAGTGGAGTGGAATGCAATGGAATGGAGTGGAATGGAATGGAGTGTAGTGGAGTGGAGTGGAGTGGAGTGGATAGGAATGGATTGGAATGGAATGGAATGGAATGGAATGGAGTGGAGTTGTGGGGAATAGAATGGAGTGCAGTGGAATGGAATGGAATGGAGTGGAATGGAATGGAGTGAAGTGTAATGGATGTTAACAGAGTGTACTGTATTTGAATCGAGTGTGGTCGCATGGAGTGTAGTGGAATGGAATGGATTGGAATGCAATGGAGTGGAGTGTAATGGAATGGAATGGTGTGGAAAGGAATGCAGTGGAATGGAGTGTAATGGAATGAAATGGAGTGGAATGGAATGGAATTGGGTACAGTAAATGGAGTGGAGTGGATTGGAGTGGAACAGAATGTAATCAAACTTAATAGATGGAATGGAGTGGATTGGTGTGCAATGGAATGGAGTTGAGTGGAATTGAATGGCTTGGAATGGAATGGAATGGAGTGGGTTGAAATGGAATGGATTGGAGTGGAACAGAGAGGAGTTTTATGTAATGGAGTGAGGTGGAGTGTAATGGAATGAAATGGAGAAGAGTTGAACGGAATTTTGTGAATTGGAATGGAATGTATTGGAATGGAGTAGAATGCTGTGGAGTGGAGCAGACTGGAGTGGAGTTGAGTGAGGTGTATTGGAATGTAAGGGAGTGGAATAAAGAGCAATGGAATGGAATGTAGTGGAGCAGAATGGAATGGAGTGGACAGGATGGGAATGGAATGGAATGTAGTGGATGGGAATGGAATGGAATGTAGTGGAGGGGAATGGAATGGAGTGGAATGGAATAGGGTGGATTGGAACGGAATTGAATGGAAAGGAACGGAAAGAGTGGAATGGAGTGGAGTGGAGTGGAATGGAATGGAGTGGAGTGGAAGGGAATGGAGTGGAGTGGAATGGAATTGAGTGGACTGGAGTGGATTCTAGTGGAGTGGAATGGAGTGGAGTTGAGTGGAATGGAGTGGGGTGGAGTGGAATGGATTGGACTGGAATGGAATGGCATAAAGTGGCATGGAATGGAATGGAATGGAGGGGAAAGGAATGGATTGGAACGGATTGGAATGGAGGGGAAAGGAGAGGAGTGGAGTGTAATGGAGTGCAATGGAATGGAGTGGAGTGGAAAGGAGTGGAGTGAGGTGGAGTGGAATGGATTGGAGTGAGGTAGAGTGGAATGGAGAGGATTTGATTGGAGAGGAATGGAATAGAGTTGAATGGAGAGCATTGGAATGGAATGGGGTTGAGTGGAATGGAATGGAGTGGAATAGAATGGAATCGAGTGAAGTGGATTGGAATAGAGTGGAGTGGAATGGAGTGGTGTGTAGTGAAATGGAATTGAATGGAATAGAATGGATTCAAAAAGAGTGGAATGGAATGCAATGGATGGGAATAGAATGGAGAGGAGTGGAATGGAATGGAATGGAATGGAATGGAATGGAATGGAATGGAGGGGAGTGGAATGGAATGGAATGGAGGGGAATGGAATGGAATGGAATGGATTGGAGTGGAGTCCAAAAAAATGGAGTGGAATGGAATTGAATGGAGAGGAATGGAATGAAGTGGAGTGGAGCGGAGTTTAATGGATTTTAACGGAATGGAATGGAATAGAATGGAGTGGAATGGCATTGAATGGAACGGAATGAAACCGAAAGAAATGGAATGGAATGGAATGGAGTGGAATATAGTGGAGTGGAATGGAGGGGAATGGAGTGGAGACGAGAAGTGGAATGGAATGGAGTGGAATGGAGTGGAGAGGAATGGAATCGAGTGGACTGGAGTGGAATGGAGTGCAATGGAGTAGAGTGGTGTGGAATAGACTGGAAGGGAGTGGAGTGGAGTGGAATGGTGCGTAGTTCAAATGGAAAGAAGGGGAGTGGAATGGAATTGAGGGGAGTGGATTGGAATAGAGTGGAGTGAAGCAGAGTGGTATGGAATCGAATGTAATGGAGTGGAATGGAATGGAATGCAATTGAGTGGAGTAATGTGGAATGGAGTGGAGTAGAGTGGAATGTAATGGATTGGAATAGAATGGAATGGAATTGAATGGAGTGGAGAGGAATAGAATGAAAGGGAATTGAATGGAGGGGAGTGGAATGGATTAGAGTGGAGGTGAGTGGAGTGGAGTGTAGTGGAAAGGAGTGGGTGGAGGGAAGTTGAGTATAGTGGATTGGAATGAAATGGAGTGGATAGGAATGGAGTGGAGTGGAATAGATTTGGGTACAATAGAGTAGAGTGGTGTAGAATGAGGTGGAGTGGAATGGAATGGAGTGGAGTAAAACAGAATGGAGTGAAGTGGAATGGAAAGGAATGGAGTGGATTGTAGTGGAATGGATTGGAGAGGAATGGAGTGGAGTTTAGTGGAATGGAGTGGAGTGGATTGGAGTGGAGTGGAGAGGAATGGAATAAGGGGAATGGAGGGTAAACAGTGTTGTGGAATAGAATGGAGTGGAATGGAATGGAGTGGAGTGGAATGGAGTGAAGGGAAGTGGAATGGAGTTGAGAGGAATAGAGTGGAATGGAATGGAGTAGAATGGAATGGAAAGGAATTGAATGGAATGGAATAGAGTGGAGTGGAATAGAATGGAGTGGCATGGAATGCAATAGAATTTAATGGAGTGGATTAGATTGGATTGTAAAGGAGTGCTCTGGAATGGCATGGAGTGGAGTAAAACTCAATGGAGTCGAGTGTAATGGAATGGAATGGAATGGATTGGAGAGGAATGGATTTTAGTGGAATCGAATGGAATCGAAAGAAGTGAAGTGGAATAGAGTGGATTGGAAAGAATTGTAGTGGAGTAGAATGCAATGGAATTTAGTGGAATTGAATGAAAAAATTGGAATACAATCGAGTGGAGTGGAATAAAAGGGAGTGGAATGGAACGGAGTGGAGTGGAGTGGAGTAGAGTGAAATGGAATGGAATGGAATGGAATGGAGTGTAGTGGAATGGAATGGAATTGAATGGAAGGGAATGGAATGAAATGGAATGCGGTGGAGTGGACAGAAGTGGAATGGAATGGAGTGGAATGGAATGCAATAGAATTGACTGGAGTGGAGTGGTGTGCAGTGGAATGGAATGGAGACTAATGGAATGGAGTGTAGTGAAGTGGGGTGGAGTGGAGTGGATAGGAGTGGAAGGGAATGGAGTTTACTGGAAAAGAATGGAATGTAATGGAGTGGAATAGAATTGAACGGAGTGGAGTTGAGTGAAGTGGAGTGGAGAGGAATTCAGTGGAATGGAATGTAATGGAGTGGTATGGAGTGGAAAGGAGAACATTGGTGTGAAATAGAATGGAGTGTAGTCGAAAGGAATGGGCAGAAATGGAAAGGAATGGAGTGGAATGGATTAGAAAGAAATGTAATGGAGTGAAATGGAATGCAATGAAATAGAATGGAATGGAATGCAGTGTAGTGGAGAGGAGTCGAGTGGGGTAGAGTGGATTGGAGTGCAATGGAGTGGAGGGGAGTGGAATACAGAAGAGTGGAATGGATTGGAATGCAGTGGAGTGAAGTGGAGTCAAGAGGGATGGAGTGGAGTGGAGAGGAATGGAATGCAATGAAGTGGACTGGAGAGCTGAGGAACTGAATGGAGTGGAGTGGAAGGGAATGTAATGGAATGGAGTGGAATGGAATGGAATGGAGTAGAGTGGACCAGAGTGGAGTGGTGTGGAGTGGAGTGTAATGGAATGGTGAGGAATGGAGTGGAATGGAGCGGAGTGGAATGGAATGGAGTGGATAGGAGTGGACTGGAGTGGAATGGAATGTAATGGAGTAAAATGGAGTGGAATGGAATGAAAAGAAAGGTAGAGGATTTGAGTGGAATGGAGTGGAGTGCAATGGAGTGGCATGGAATGGAATGGAATGGAATGGAATGGAATGGAATGGAATGGAATGGAGTGGTGTGGAAAGGAATGGAATGGAATGGAGTGGTGTGGAATGGAATGTAGTATAGTGGAGTGGAGTGCAATGGAATGGAGTGGATTGGAGTGGAATGGAGTGGCGTGGAGTTGAGTGGGGTTAAGGGCTCTGGAATAGAATGGAGTGGAGTGGAGGTTAATGGAGTGCAGTGGAATGGAGTGAAGTGGAAGGGAAACGGGTGAAATGGAATGGAAAGGAGTGCAATGGAATGGAATGGAATGGAATGCCATGGAAAGGAATGGAATGGAGTAGAATGGAGTGAACGGAACGGAGTGTAGAGGAATGAAACGGAGTTGAGTGGAATGGATTGGAATGGAGTGTAGGAGAGCGTGGTGGAGTGGAGTGGAGTTCAATGGAGTGGAATGGAGAGCAATGGAGTGTAATGCAGTTGAATGGAGTCCAGTGGAGTGCAGTGCATTGGAGTGGAGTGGAATATGATGGACTGGAGTAGGAAGGAATGGAGAGTAATGGAATGGAATGAAATGGGGTGGAATTGAATGGAATGAAATGGAATGGAACGGAACAGAAAGGAATGGAATGGAGACGAATAGATTAGAAACGACTGCAGTGGAAAGGAACAGAGTGGATTGGCGTAGAGTGGAGTGTAATGGATTGCATTGCAATGGAATGGAGTGGACTTGAAGGGAACTGAGTGGAGTGGAGTGGAATTGAGTGGTTCCGAATGGAATGGAATAGAATGGAATGGAATGGAATGAAATGGAGTCGAATGGAATGGAATGGAGTGGAATGGAATGGAGTGGAATGGAGTAGAGTGGAATGGAATGGAGTGGAGTAGAATGGAATGGATGGAGTGGAGTGGAATGGGAAGGAGTAGAATGGAATGGATGGAGTGGAGTGGAATGTGAAGGAGTGGAGTGGGGTGGAAAGGAGTGGAATGGAATGGAGTGGAGTGAAATAGAATGGAGGGGGAAGGAATGCAATGGAGTAGAGTGGAATGGAATGGATTGGAGTGGAATGGAATGGAGTGGAGTGGCATGGAATGGATTGGAATGGCATAGAACGGAGTAGAATGAAATGGAAAGGAATGGAGTGGGTGGGAACGGAGTGGAGTGGAATGCAGTGGACTGGACTGGAATGGAGTGGAGTGAAATGGATTGGAATGTAATGTTGTGGAATGGAATGGACTGGAATGGAGTGGAATGGAACACAGTGAAATGGAGTGGAATGGAGTAAAACGGAATGGAGTAGAGTGAAAGGGAATAGAGTGTCATGCAATGGAATCGAATGGAGTGGAGTGGAAAGACGTGGAGTGTAATGGACTGGAGTGGAGTGGAATGGAATGGAGTGGAATGGATTTGAATGGAGTGGAGTGGAATGGAGTGGAGCGGAATGCAATGAAATTTATTGGAAACGAATTGAGTGGAGTGGAATAAAATGGAGTGGAGTGGAATGGAATGGAATGGAGTGGAATGGAATGGAGTGGATTGGAATGCAATGGAATGGAATGGAATGGAGTCGAATACATTTGAATGGAATGGAATGGAATGAAATGGAATGCAGTGCAGTGGACTGTACTGGAATGGAAAGGAGCGGAAGGGAATGGATTTGAATAGAGTGGAGTGCAATAGGGTGATTTGGAACGGAGTAGAGTTGAGTGGAATGGAATGGAGTGGAGTTGAGGTGAGTGGAGTGGAGTACAATGGAATGGAGTGGAGGGAATGGATTGGAGTGGAATAGAACGGGGTGAAATAGAATGGAATGGAGTGGAATAGGGTGGAATGAATTGGAGTGGAGTGGAACGGAATGTAGTGGAGTGGAAAAGAATGTAATGGTATGTAGTGCAATTGAATGGAATGGAGTTGCGTTGAGAGGTGCGGAGCGGAGAAAAGTTTAGTGGAATGGAGTGGAATGGAATGGAGTGCAACGGATTGGAGTGGAATGGAATGGTGTAGAGTAAAAAGGAGTGGTGTGGAGTGGAAAGGAATGGAGTGGAATGGAATGGAATGGATTGTAGTGGAATGGAGTGGAGTGGAATGGGGTGGAATGGAAAGGAGTGGACTGCAGTGGTATGGAATTCAATGTAATGGATTTCAATGGATTGGAGTGGAATCCACAGGAGTGTTGGGGGATGTAATGTAGTGGATTGGAGATGAAAGCAGTTGAGAGGAGTGTAACGGAATGGAGTGGAGTGGAATAGAATGGAGTGGAATGGAATGGAATGGAATGGAATGGAATGAAATGGAAAGGAATAGAATGAAGTGGAACGGATATAAACGGTGTGGAATGGAATGGAGTTGGTAGGAATAAAATGGATTGAAGTGGAATGGAATGTAGTGGAATGGAATAGATAGGACTAGAGTGGAATAGAGAGCAATAGAATGGTGCGGAATGGAATGGAATGAAATGAAATGGAGTGGAATGGAATTGCTTGGAATGGAATGGAAAGAAATGGAATGGAGTGGAGTGTAGTGAAGTGGAATGGAATGGAGTGGAAAGGAATGGAATGGAGTGCAGTGGAATGGAGTGGAGTGGAATGGATTGGAATGGAGTGGAGTGGACTGCAATGGAGTAAAGAGGAACGGAGTAGTATGGAAGGGAGTGGAATGGAATACAGTGGAGTGGAGTGAAATGGAGCAGTGTGTGATGGAATTGGGTTGCGTGGAGTGGAGTGGAATGGAATGGAATGGAGTTGAATAGAATGTAATGGAGTGAAGAGTAGTGGAGTGGAATGGAGTGGAGTGGAATGGAGTTTATTGTAGTGTAGAATATTGGAATGGAGTGGAATGGAGTGGAGAGGCATGGAGTGGAAAGGATTTGAGTGGAATGTAATGGAATTGAGTGGCATGGCATGGAATGGAATGGAATGGAGAGAAGCGGAATGGAGTAGATTGGAAAGTATAGGAGTGGAGAGGAATGGAGTGAAGTGGAATGGAATCGAGTGGACTGGAGTGGAATGGAGTGGAGTGGAGAAGAGCGGAGTGGAATGGCATTGAATGGAGTGGAGTGAAGTGGTTTGCAGTGGAGTTGAGTGGAATGGAGTGCAGTGGAGTAGATTGGAATTGGTTGGAGTGGATTAGAGTTGTGTTTAAAGGAATGGAATAGAGTGGAGTGGAGTAGAGTGGTGTGGAATAAAATAGAGTGGAGTGGAGTAGAGTGGTGTGGAATGGAATAAAATGGAGTGATGTGGAATGGAATGGAGTGGGCTCGAAAGTAATTCAGTGGAATGGAATGTAAAGGAGTGGAGTGGAGTAGACTGCAATGGAGTGCTGTGGAATGGAGTGGAATGGAAGGGATTATAATGGAGAGCAGTGTAATGGAATGCAGTGGAGTGGAATGGAATGTAGTGAAGTGCAGTGGAGAGTAATGGAATGCTATGGAATGGAATGGAGGGGAATGGACTGGAGTGGAATGGAATGAATCACATGGAGTGGAGGGTAATAAAATGGAGTGGAGCGGAATGGAAAAAATGTAGTGGAGTAGAGAGAAGTGGAGGGGAATGGAGTAGAATTTAGTGCAATGGAATGGAATGGAGTGTAACACAGTCGACTGTAGTGGAGTGGAGTGGAGTAGAATGGAATGGACTCGAGTGGGAAGGAATGGAGTGGAATGGAAAGGAATGTAATGGAGTGGAGTGAAATGGAATGCTTTGGAAATGAGTGGAATGGAATGGATTGGAGGGGAGTGCAGTGGGGAGGAGTGGAGTTTAATGCAATGCAGTGGATTGGAGTGGAATAAAGTGGTATGAAGTGGAATGGTTTGGAGTGGAATGGAGCGCAATGGAATGGAATGTAGTGGAGTGGAATATAATGGACTGAAGCGGAATAGAATGGATTTGTGTGGAATGGAGTGGAATAGAATGGAATGAAATGGAATGGAATGGAATGGAATTGAGTGGAATGGAATTGAGTGGAATGGAGTGCAGTGGAATGGAATGGAGTGGATTGGAATGGAGTGAAATAGAATGGAGTTTAGTGGAGTGGAATGGAGAAGAGGAGAATTGAAAGCAGTGGAATAGAATGTAAAGGAGTTGAGTAGAATGGAGAGAAGTGGAATGGAGTGGAGTGGAGTTGAATGGAATGGAGTGGAGTTGAGTGGAATGGAGTGGAGTGGAATGGAGTGGAACGGAATGGAGTGGAGTGGAGTGAAATGGATCGGAGGGGAATGGAGTGGAAAGAGTGTAGTGGAATGGAATATTAGGAAGTGGAATGGAATGAAGTGGAATGGAATGGAATGGAATGGAGTGAAATGGAGTGGAGCAGAGTGGAGTGGAATGGAGATTAGTGGTATGGATTTGAGTGGAATGGAGTGGAGTGGAATGGAATGGAGTTCAATTGAATGGAATGGACAGGAATGAAATGGAATGGAGTTGAGTGGAGTGGAATGGAAAGGAATGAAATGGAATGGAGCTGAGTGGAGTGGAATGGACAGGAATGAAATGGAATGGATTTGAGTGGAGTGGAATGGAACGGAGTGAAGTGGAGTGGAATGGAATGGAGTGGAATGGAGAGCATTGGAATGGAATGCAAAGGAGTGGAATGGAATGAAGTGTAATGGAAAGGAATCTAATGAAGTTGAGTGGAATGGAGTGGAGTGGAGTGGAATGCAGTGGAGTGGAGTGTAATGAAATGGATTAGAGTGGAAGAAAATGGAGTGGAGTGGAATGGAAAAGAATGGTAAGGAATGGAATGGAGTGTGGTGGAGTGGAATGAAGAGGAGGGGAATGGAGTTCAATGGAATGGACTGAAGTGGAATGGAGAAGAATGGAGTTGATTGGAGTTGAGTGGAATGCAGAATAGAGGAATGGAATGGAATGGAGAGGATTGGAAAAGATTGGAGTGGAGTGGAAAGTAATGGAGTAGAAATGAAAGGAAGAGAGCCAAGTAGAATTCATTGGACTGGATTCGTGGTGAGTGGAGGGGAGTGGAGTGGAATGGAATGGAGTGGGTGGAGTGGAGAAGAGTAGAGAGCAGTGGGATGGAATGGAGTGGAGAGGAATGGAGTTGAGTGGAATGGAATTGAGATGAATGTAATACACAGAGAAGAATGGAGTGGAATGGAGTTGAGTGGAGTGGAATGGAAAGGAGTGGAGTGGATTGGAATGGAATGCAGTGGCGTGGATTGGAATGGAATGGAGTGGCGTGGAATGGAATGGAAAGGAATGGAGTGGAATGGAATGGAATGGAATAGAGTGGAACAGAATGGAATGGAATGAAATGGAATGGAATAGAATGGAAAGAATGGAGACGGGTGAAGCGGAGTGGAGTGGAATGGAGTGGATTGGAATGGAATGGAGTGTAATGGAGTGGAATGGAGTGTCGTGGTTTGGAATGGAATTAAGTGGATAGGAATGGAATAGAGTGGAGTGGAATGCAATGGAATGGAGAGCGTTGGAATGGAATGGAGTGGATACGAATGGAGTGGAGTGGAATATAGTGGGGTGAAGTGGATTGGAATGGAATGGAATAGAATGAAATGGAATCGAATGGAATTTTAGGGAATGGAGTGTAATGAAATGGATTAGAATGTTGGAATGAAATGTATTGGAATGGATCGGAATGGAATGGAGTGGAATGGAATGGAATAGGCTGGAATGGAATGCAGTGGAGTGTAGTTGTGTGGAGGGGAGTGGAGAGGAGTTGAGTGGAATGGACAGGAATGGAT
Source organism: Homo sapiens (assembly GCF_000001405.40). Taxonomy (NCBI): domain Eukaryota; kingdom Metazoa; phylum Chordata; class Mammalia; order Primates; family Hominidae; genus Homo; species Homo sapiens. Next base: position 72,937 of record NT_187391.1, read on the forward strand.
AGGAATGCAGTGTAAGGCAGAGGAATGATGTGAAGTGGTGTGAAATGGAATGGAGTGGAGTGGAGTGGAATGGAAAGGAGAGGAGTGGAATGAAATGGAGTAGAATGGAATTGGAATCGAGTGGGTTGGAATTGAATGGAGTGGAGTGGAGTGGATTGCAATAGAACGGAGAGGATTGGAATGGAATACAATACTGTGGAGTGGAGTGGAAAGAATGGAATAGAGGGGAGCGGAATTGAATGGAGTAGATTGGAATGGAATGTAACAGAATTGAATGGAATGGAGTGGAATGCAGTGGAGTGGAGGAGAGTGGAGTGGAATGGATTGGAGTGGAATGGAAAGGAGGGAAATGGAGAGCAGTGGAATGGAGTTTAATGGAGTGGAAAGGAATGCAGTGTAGTGGAAAGGAATGGAGTGGAGGGGAGTAGAATGGGGTGGAGTAGAGTGAAGTGGAATGGAGTGGAATGGAGAGCAACGGAATAGAGTGGAGTGGAATGGAATGGAAAGGAGTGGAGTGGAGTGGGCAGAAGTGGAATGGCATGGAGTATAGTGGAATGGAAAGGAATGGAATTGAATGAAATGGAATGGAGTGGAGTGGAATCGAATGGAGTGGAATGGAATGGAAACGAAAGGAAAGGAATGCAATGGAATGGAATGGAATGGAGTGGAAAGGACTCGCATGGAATGGAATGGAGTGGAGTGGAATGGAGTGGACTGAAATGGAGTTTAGTGGAGTGGAATGGTGAGGAGGGGAATCCAATGGAGTGTGATGGAGTGGAGTGGAATTGAATGGAGTGGAGTGGAATTGAATGGAATTGAATGGAATGGAATGGATCGAGTGGAGTGGAATGGAGTGGAGTGGAGTGGAATGGAGAGGAGTGGAATGGAGTGGACATGAGTGGAATGAATTTGAGTGGAGTGGAGTGGAATGAAATGGAGTGGAGTGAAATGGAATTGAGGGGAAAGGAGTGGAAAGGACTGTAGAGGAATGGAATGTAGTGGAGAGGAATGGAATGGAGTGGAGTGGAATGGAACAGAGTGGAATGGAATGGAATGGAATGGAATGGAATGGAATGGAGTGGAGTGGAAAGGAGTGGAGTGGAATGGAGTGGAATAGAAAGGTGTGCATTCAAATGGAGAGGAATGGATTGGATTGGAATGGAAAGGAATCGAGTAGAATGGAATGGAGTGGAATGGAATGGGATGGAATGCAATGGAATGGAATGGAATGGAATGGAATGGAATGGAATGGAATGGGATGGAATGCAATGGCATGGAATGGAATGGAATGGAATGGAATGGAATGGAATGGAATGGAAGTGAGTGGAGTGGAGTGCAAAGGAGTGGAATGGAATGAAATCCAAAGAAGAGAAGTGGAATGCAGTGTAGTGCAATAGAGTGGAGTGGAATGGACTGGAATGGAATGGAATGGACTAGAATTGAATGGAATGTAGTGGATGGAATGAAATGTAGTGACGTATAATGGAATGGAGTGGAATAAAATGGAGTGGAGTGTAAAGGAATGTAATGTAATGATTTAGAATGGAGAGCAGTGGAGGGGAAAGGAGTGGGGTGAAGTGGAATGGAGTAGATTACAGTTGCATTGAGTGGTGTGGAGTGGAATGGAGTTTAGAGGAGTAGAGTGGTGTGGAGTGGAAAAGAATGGAGTGGAGTGGATTGGAGTGGAGTCTTGTGGAGGGGAATGCAGTGGTGTGGAATGGAGATATGTGGAATGAAGTTGTGTGGAATGGAATGCGGTGAAATGCAATGGAATGGCATGGAATGAAGTGGAGAGGGTAGAGTGGACTAGAGTGTAGTGGAGTGGAATGGACTGCAGTGGAGTGGAGTGGAAAGAAATGGAGTGGAGTGGAATGGAATGGAGTGGAATGGAATGGTATGCAATGGAGAGGAGTGGAAATGAATGGAATGGAATGGAAAGGGAAGAAATGGAATGGAATTGAGTGGAGTGGAATTGAGAGGGTTGGAGTTGAATCTAGTGCGGTGGAATGAAATAGAATGGAATTGAATGTAATGGAGTGAAATGGAGTGGATTGGTGTTGAATGGAATGGAGGGGAGTGGAATGAAATACAGTGGAGTTTAACGGAATGGAATGGAGTGGGGTGGAAAGGAAAGGAGTGGAGTGGAATGCAGTGGAGTTGAGTGGAATGGAGTGGAATGGAGTGGAGTGGAATGGAGATTAATGGAATGGAGTGGAGTGGAATAAAAAGGAGTGGAGTGCAATGGAATGGAGTGGAATGGAATGTAGTGGAGTGGATAGGAGTGGACTAGAATGCAATGGAATGGAATGGAGTGGAATGGAATTGAATGGAGTTGAACGGAATGGAATAGAATGGAATGAAATGGAATGCAGTGGAGTGAAGTGGAGTAGAATTGAATCGATTGGATTGGAGTGGAGTGGAATAGAGTAGAGTGCTGTGGAATGGAATGGAGTGGAGAGGGGTGGAATGAAATGGAATGGAGAGGAGTGGAATGGAATGGAGTTTATTGGAATTAAAGGTAATGGAATGGAAAGGAATGGAGCGGCATCCAACGGAGTGGAGTGGAGTAGAATGGCATGGGACGGAATGAAATGGAATGGGAAGGAATGGAATGGAGTAGAATGGAATGGAGTGGAGTGTAATTGAATGGAGAGGCATGGAATGGAATGGAATGGAGAGCAGTGGAATGGATTGGATTTGAATGGGATGGAATGAAGTGGAAAGGAATGTAGGGGAATGGAATTAAATGGAGTGGAATGGAGTGGAATGAAGTGGAGTGGAATGGAATGGAATGGAGTAGAGTGAAAGAGTGTGGAGTGGAATGGAATGGAATGGAATGGAATGAAGTGGAGTGCAGCGAAATGAAATGGAGTAGAATGGTATGGTGTGGAGTGGAATGGAAAGGAATGGAATGAAGTGGAGTTGAGCTTAGTGTAATGAAGTAGAATGGAATGGAGTGGAGCGGAAAGGAAAGGAGTAGAATGGAATATTGTTGAGGGGAATGGAATGGAATGGAATGGAATGAAGTAGAGTGCAGTGTAATGAAATGGAGTAGAATGGTATGGTGTGGAGTGGAATGGAATGGAATGGTATGAAGTGGATTGGAGCTTAGTGGAATGAAGTAGAATGGAATGAAGTGGAGTGGAATGGAATGGAATGGAAAGGAATGGAGTGGAATGGAATTCAATGGAATGGAATGGAATGAAATGGAATACAGTGTAGTAGAGAGGAATGGAATGAAATGGAATGGAATGGAATTAAAAGGAATGCAGTGGAGTGGAGTGGAATGGAATGAAGTGGAATGGAATGAAATGCAATGTAGTCGAGTGGAATGGTGTGGAGTGGACTTGAATGGACTGGAGTGGAATGGAATGTAATGGAATGGAGGGGAGTGGAATGGAGTGGAATGGAATTGAGTGGAATGGAGAGGAATGGACTGGATTGGAACAGAGTGGTATGGAATTGAGTGGAGGGGAATGGAGTGGAGTGGAGTGGAATTTAGTGTTGAGTAATGGAATGGAGGGGAGTGGATTGGAGTGGAGTGGAGTGGATTGAAATGGAACGGAGTGGAATGGGATGGAATGGAGTGGAGTGGAGTGGAATGGAGTGGAATGGACTTTCAGGGACTGGAGTGGAAAGGAATTCAGTGGACTGGTACGGAATGCAATGGCATTGAATGGAATGGAAAGGAAAGGAGACAAGTTGACTGCAGTGGAGTGGAGTGGAGTGGAATACAGTGCAGTGGAATTGAATCAAGTGGAGTGGAGTGAAATGGTGTGCCATAGAATACAGTGTTTTGGAATGGAATGCAATGGACTGGTGTGGAGTGGTGTGGAATGGAATTAGTGGAGTGAAATGGAATTAGTGGTGTGCAATGGAATAGAGTGGAGTGGAATGGAGTTTAGAGGAGTAGAATGGTGTGGATTGGAATGGAATACAGTGTTGTGGAGTAGAATGGTGTGGAATGAAATGGAATGGAGAGGAGTGGAATAGAGTGGAATGGAATTAAGTGGAATGGAATGGAGAGGAATGGAGTGGAGTGGAATGGAATGGAGAAGAATGGAACGGAATTGAATAGAGTGGAATGGATTTGAATGGACAGGAGTGGAATGGAGTGTAGTGGAATCATATTCAGTGGAGCGGAATGGAATGGAATGGCATGGAGTGGAGTGGATTTGAATGGAATGGAATGGAATGGAATGGAATGGAATGGAATGGAGTGGAAAGGAATTGAATGGAATGGAAATGAATGAAATGGAATGGACTGGAGTGGAGTGGAGTGCAATGCAATGGAATGGAATGGAATGAAATGGAATGGACTGGAGTAGAGTGGAGTGGTATGGAATGGAGTGAAATGGGATGGAAGAGAATGGAATGGAGTGGAAAGTAGTGGAGTGGAATGGAGTGGAGTGGAGTGGAATAGAGGGGAGTGCATCGGAGTAGAATCGAATGATGTGGAGTGGAATGTATTGGAGTGGAATTGAATAGATTGGAGTGGAATGGAATGGAATGGAGTGGACTGGAATGGAATGGAATGGAATGGAATAGAATGGAATTGAATTGAATTGACTGGAGTGGAGTGGAGTGGAATGCAGTGGTATGGAATGGAATTGAAATGAGTGGACTGTAATTGCTGGGGGCGTGGAATGGAGTGAAGTGGAGACCAGTGGGATGGAATGGAGTGGAGTTAAATGGCATGGGAGTGGAATGGAGTGGAGTGGAGAGCAGTGGGATGGATTGGATTGGAGTGAAATGTAATGGAGTGCAGTGTAGTGGAATGGAGTGGAGTGGAGTTGAATGTGGTGATCTGTTATGGACTGGGGTGGAGTGGAGTGGAATGGAATGGAATAGAGTAGAATGGTATGGAGAGGAGTGGAGTTGAGCGGAGTGGAATGGAGTGGAATTGAGTGAAGTGCAGTGGGGTGGAGTGGTGTGGAATGGAGTGATATGTAGTGGTAAGGAGAAGAGTGGAATGGAATGGAATGGAAGGGAATGTAATGGAGTGGCATGGAATGGAATGGAATGGAATGGAGTGGAGTGGAATCGAGTGGAATGGAGTGGAGTGGGAAGGAATGGAGTGGAATGGAATGGAATGGAGTGGCATGGAACAGAATAAAATGCAATTTGGAGAACGGAGAGGAGTGGAATGGAGTGGAGGGGAGTGGAATGAAGTGGAGTGGAAAGGAGTGCGATGGAAAGGAGTTGAGTGGAATGGAGTGTAGTGTAGTAGAAAAGATTCGTGTGTAATGGAATGAAGAGGCCTGGAATGGAATGGAGTGGCGTGGAATGGAATGGAATGGAGAGAAACGGAAAGGAGTGGAGTGCAATGGAGTGGAGTGGAGATTAATGGAGTGCAGTGGAATGGAGTTGAGTGGAGTGGAGAGTAATGGTGGGCCATGGAGAAGAGTGGTGTGGAATGGAATGCAATGGCCTGGAATTGAATGTATTACAGTGGCGTGCAGTGGAGTGGAAGGCACTGGATTGGATTGGTATGAAGTGGAGTGGAGTGGAACCTAGTGGAGTGGAGTGGAATGGATTCGAGTGGAGTAGAGTGGTGTGGAATGGAATGGAATGCAGTGTAGTGGAATGGAGTGGAGTGGAGTAAAATGGAGTGGAGTGAAGTAAAATGGAGTAGAATTGAATGGAGAGGAGTGGAGTGGAATGAAGTGGAGTAGAGTGGAATGGAATAGAATGGAGTTTAATGGAATGGAATGGAGTGGAGTGGAATGGAATGGAGTGGATTGTAATGGAATGTAGAGGAATGCAGTGGAATGGTGTGGAGTAGAGTAGTTTGGAGTGGAGTGGAGTGGAATGGAAGGGAGTGCAATAGACAGCCATGGAATGGAATGGAGTGGTGTGGAATGCAATGCAATTGAGTGGCATGGAATGGAGAGCAGTGGAATGGAGTAGAGTGGAGAATAATGGAGTGCATTGGAATGGATTGGAATGGAATGGAATGGAATAGAATGGAATGGAATGGAATGGAATGAATTTGAATGGAATGGAATGGAGTCTAATGGAAGGGAGGGGGGTGGAATAAAACGCAGTGAAGTGGAGTGGAAGGGAATGGTGTCTAATGGAAAGGAGTGGAGTGGAATGGAATGGAGAGGCATGGAATGGAACGGAATTTAGTGGAGTGGAATGGAGCAGAGTTGAATGGAGTGGAGTGGAGTGGAATGGAGTGGAGTGGAATGGAATGGAGTGGAGTGGAAAGGAATGGAGTTGAATGTCATGAAATCGAATGAAGCAGAGTGGAATGATGTGGAGTGGAATGGAGTGGAGTGGAGTTGAAAGGAATGGAATGGAATGCAATATAATGGAGTGGAATGGAATAGAATGGAGTGGATTGGAAAGGAATGGAGTGAAATAAAAAGAAGTGAAGTGGAATGGAATGGAATGGAGTGGAATGGAATGGAGTGGAGTGGAGTGGATTAGATTGGTATGGAATGGAATGCAATGGAATGGAATGGAATGTAAAAGAAAGGAATGGAATGGATTGGAATGGAGAAGAATGGAATGGAATGGAATGGAATGAAACGGAATGGAATTGAGTGGAATTGAGTTGAGTCTAATGGCGTGGAGTGTACTGGAATGGAGTGGAGTGGAAAGGAAAGGAGTGGAGTAGAATGGAGTAGAGTAGACTAGAATGGAGAGGAACTGAATAGAGAGCAGTGGAATGGAATTGAGTGGAAAGGAATGGAAAGAAGTGGAGTGGAATGGAATGGAGTGTATTGAAATGGAATGTAGTGGAATGGAATGGAATGCAGTGGAATGGAATGGAAAAGAGTGGAGTGCACTAGTTTGGACTGGAGCAGAGTGGAGTATAGTGGAATGGAAGGGATTGGAATACAGAACAGTGGAATGGAATGTAGTGGATTGGAATTTAATGGAATGGAGTGGAGTGGAATGGAGTGCAGTGGAATGGTGTGGAGTGTAGTGAAAAGTAGTGCATTGGAATGGATTGGATAGAAATGGAGTGGAATGGAATGCAGTGCAATGGAATGGAATAGAATGGAATGGAATGGAATGGAATGGAATGGAATGGAATAGAATGGAATGGAATGGAATGAAAGGGAAAACAGGGGAGTGGAATAAAATGGAATGAAGTGGAATGGAATGGAATAGAGTAAAATGCAATGGAGTGGAGTGGAATAGAGTGGAATGGAATGAAGTGGAGTGGAGTCGAATGGAGTGTGTTGGAATGGGGTGGAATGGAATGGAGGGGAATGGAATGGAGTGGAATGGAATGGAGTGTAATGGAATTCAATGGAATGGAATGGAATGAAATGAAATGGAATGGAATGGAGTGGAGTGGAATGGAATGGATTCAAATGGAATGGAAGGGAATGGAAAGCAGTGGAATTTAGTGGAGTGGAATGTAATGCAGTGGAGTGGAATGAAATGGAGTGGATTGCGATGGAATGCAGTGAAGGGGAATGGAATGGAATGGAATGGAATGGAATGGAATGGAATGGAATGGAGTGAAATGGAATGAAATGGAATGGACAGGAATTGAATGAGGTGGAGTGGAGTGGAGTGGAATAGTGTGCACTGTAATGGAATGTGATGGAATGGAATGGAATGGAATGGAATGGAGTAGAGTGGAGTGGAATGGAATGTAGTGGAATGGAGTGATATTGAGTGGAATTGAGTGAAGTGGAGTGGAATCGAGTGGAATTTAATGGAATGATATGTAGTTGCATGAAATGGAAAGGCATGGAGTGGAGAAGAATGGAATGCAATGGAGTGGATTGGAGCTTACTGGAGAGGAGTGGAGTGAAATAAACTGGAGAAAAATGAAGTGGGATGGAATTGAATGAAACAGAAGAGAATGGGACGGAAGGGAATGGAGTTTATTCAGGTGGATTGGAGAGGAGTGCAGTGGAATGGAAAGGAGAGGATGGGAGTGGAATCGAGTGGAGCGGAGTTGAATAGAGTGCAATGCACTGGAATGGAATGGAGTGGAGTGGAATGGAATGGAGAGGTATGAAATGGAACGGAATGGAATTGTAAAAAAAACAGAGTTGATTGGAATGGAATGGAGTGGAATGGAACAGAGTTCAGTGGAGTGGAATGTTGAGTGGAATCGAATAGAGTGGAGTGGAATGGAGTGGACAGGAATGGAATGGATTTGAAAAGAATGGATGGAGTGGAGTGGAATCGAGAGGATTTGAATGGAGTGGAATGGAAAGGAGTGGAGTGGAATGCAGTGGAGTAGAGTGGAATGGAATGGAGGGGAATGGAGTGTAAAGGAGTGTAGAGGAACGGAATGCAGCAGAGTGGAATGGAATGGAGTGCAATGGAAAGGAATGGAGTGGGGAAGAGTGGAATCGAGTGGAATGGAACGGAGAAGAGTAGAAGGGAATGGAGTGGAGTGGAGTAGAGTGGAGTGGAGTGGAGTGGATTAGAATGGAAGGGAGTGGAATGGAGAGTAGTGGAATTGAATGTAGTGTAGTAGAATGGAATGGAGATGAGTGGGGTGGAATGGAATAGAATGGAATGGAAGGTTTTGGAATGGACTGGAATGGTGGGGAATGGAATGGAATGGAGTAGAGTGGGGTGGAGTGAAGTGGAGTGGAATGGAGTGGAATGGAGTGGAAGGGAATGGAATTGAGTGAAACGGAGTGAATGGAGTGGAGTGGAGCGGATTGGAAGGGATAGGAGTGGTAAAGAATAGAGTGCAATTTAATGAAATGAAATGGAGTGGAGGGGAATGGAATGAAATATAATGGAATGAAATAGAAAGGAGTGGAGTTTAGTTTAGAGAATTGGAGAGGAATGCAGTGGAATGGAATGAAGGGTATTGGAGAGGAATGGAGTGAAGTGTAGTGGAATGGAGTTTAATGGCATGGAATGGACTGGAGTGGAATGGAATGGATAGGAGTGGAATGGAATGGAGTAGACTGGAATGAAATGGAGTGGTATGGAAAGGAATGGAATGGAATGGAGTGGTATGGAATGGAATGGAACGGAATGGAGAGGTATAGAATGGAATGGAATGGAATGGAGATGTATGGAATGGAATGGAATGAAATGGAATGGAGTGTAACGGAATGGAATGGAGTGCAGTGGAATGGATTGGAGTGGAGTGGAATGGAGTAGACTGGAATGAAATGGAATGGAGTGTAACGGAATGGAATGGAGTGCAGTGGAATGGATTGGAGTGGAGTGGAATGGAGTAGACTGGAATGAAATGGAGTGGTATGGAAAGGAATGGAATGGAATGGAGTGGTATGGAATGGAATGGAACGGAATGGAGAGGTATGGAATGGAATGGAATGGAATGGAATGGAGAGGTATGGAATGGAATGGAATGAAATGGAATGGAGTGTAACGGAATGGAATGGAGTGCAGTGGAATGGATTGGAGTGGAGTGGAATGGAGTTGAGTGGAATGGAGTTCATTGGAGTGGAATGGTTAGGAGGGGAATAGAATGGAGTTGAATGGAGTGGAATAGATTGGAATGGAAGTGAATGGAGTGGAATGGAATACAATGGAGTGGACTGTAAAGGTTGTAGTGCAGTGAAATATAGAAGAGTGGAATGGAGAGGAGTGGAGTGGAATGGAGGGGAGTGCAGTAGAATGGAATGGATGGGAATGGAGTGTAAAGGAGTGTAGTGGAATGGAATGGAGTAGAGTGGAATGGAATAGAGTGGAATGGAATGGAATGCATTGGGGTGGAAGGGAAGGTAGTGGAATGCAGTCGAGTGGAGTGGAATTTAGTGAAGTGGAATGGAGTGGAGTGGATTAGAGTGGTGTGGAATGGAATGCAATAGAGTGGAGTGGATTCGAATGGTGAGGAATGGAGTGGAATGGAGTGGAGTGGAATGGAATGGAGTGGAATGCAATGGAAGGGAATGGAGGGGAATGGAAATGAGTGAAATGGAATGGAATACATTGGGGTGGAAAAGAAAAGAGTGGAGTGAAATGGATTGGGGTGGAAAAGAAAAGAGTGGAGTGAAATGGAGTGGAGTGGAAAGGAGAGGAGTGGAGTGTAATGCAATGGAGTGGAATGGAATGCAGTGGCGTGGAATGGAGTGGAATGGAGTCGAAAGGAATGGAATGCAATGGAATGGAATTCAATGGAATGGAATGGAATCGAGTGGAATGGAATGGAGTGGAGTGGAATAAAATGGAGTGCAGTGGAATGGAATGGGGAGAAGCAGACAGGAATTGATTTGAGTTGAATGGAGAGGAGAGGTATTCAATTGAATGGAATGGAAAGGAATGGAATGGTATTGAGTGTAGTAGAATGGAATCGAGTGGAGTGAAATAAAATAGAGTGGAATGGAATGGAATGGAATGGAATGGAATGGAATGGAATGGAATGCAGTGGAGTGGAGTGGAATAGAATGGAACGGAATGGAAGGAATGGAATCGAATGAAGTGGATTGTTATGGAGTGGATTGGAACGGAGCGGAATGCAGTAGAATGCAGGGGAATGCAGTAGAATGGAATGTAGGGGAATGGCGTGTAAAGGAGTGGAGTGGAATGGAATGGAGTTTAGTGGAATGGAATGGAGTAGAGTATGTTCGTATGGATTGCAATGGAATAGAGTGGAGTGGAGTGGAGTGGTGTGGAATGGAATGGAATGGAATGGAGTGGAGTGGAGTGGAGTGGAATGGAATGGAGTGGAAAGGAGTGTAATGGAATGGAATGGAGTGGAATAAAATGGAAAGGAGTGGAGTGGAGTGGAATGGAATGAAGTGGATTGGAATGGAACGGAATGGAATGGAGTGGAATAGAATGGAATGGAGTGGAATCTAATGGAGTGCGGAATGGAATGGAATAGAAAGTAGTGGAATGGAATGGCATGGAGTGGAGTGGAGTGGAATGGAATGGAATGGGATGGAATGGAATGGAATGGAGTGGAATGGAATGGAATGGAATCGAATGGAAAGGAATGGAACAGAATTGAATGGAAAGGAATGTAGTGGAGTGGAATGAAATGGAGTGGAATTGAATGGAATGGAGTGGAGGGGAGTTGAATGGAGTGGAGTGGAGTGGACTTGAACGGAATGGAATGTAGTGTAGTGGAAAGGAGTGCAGCATACTGGAATGAAATGGAATGGAATGGAATGGAAATGAGTGGAATGCAATGAAATGGATTGTAATAGAATGGTGTGGAGTGGAATGAAATGGAGTGGAATAGAAAGGAATGGAATTAAGTGGAATGCAATAGAGTGGAGTGGAGTGGAGTGGAATGAAACTAAATGGAAAGGAATGCATTGGCATGGAATGGAGTTGAAAGGAATTGAATGGAAATGAATGGAATGCAATGGAATGTATTGGGTTGGAGGGTAGTGGAATGGAAGGGAGTGGAATGGAATGGAATTGAATGGAATGGAGTGGAATGGAGTGGACTGGAAAGGAGAGTAGTTGAGTGGAATGGAATTGAATGGAGTATACTGAAGTAGAGTGTTGTGGAATGGAGTGGAGTGAAATGGAGTGGAGTGGAAAGGAGTGCGGTGAAATGGAGTTGAATGGAGTGGAATGGAGTGGAATGAAGTGGAGTGGAATGGAATGGAATGGAGTGGAGTGGAAAAAGAATGGAATGCAATAAAGTGGAAAGGAATGCAATGGCTCAGAGTTGAGGGGAGTGGAGTGGAGTGAAATTGAGTGGAATGGAATGCAATGGAGACTAATGGAGTGTTAAGTAGTGGTGGGCTGTGAAATGGAATGGAGTAGAGTGGAATGGAATGGACTGGAATGGAAATGAGTGGACTGGAATCGAATGGAATGGAGAGGAGTGCAGTGGAGTGGAGTGCAGTGGAGTGGAGTTGAAAGAATGAAGTGAAATTGAGACCAGTAGATTGGAATGGAGTGGAGTGTAAAGGAATGGAAGTGAATGGAATGGAATACAATGAAATGGAATGGAATGGAATGAAATGGAATGGAATGAAATGGAATGGAGTGGGGTGGAGTGGAGTGGTGTGGAGTGGAGTAGAATGGAGAGTAGTAGAATGGAATGGTGTGAAATGGAGAGGAATGGAGTGGAATGGAATGGAATGGAATGGAGTGGAATGGAGTGGACAGGAGTGGAATGTAATGTAATGGAGTACAACAGAGTGGAATGGAAAGCAATGGAATGCAGTGGAGTGTACGGTAGTGGAATGGAATGGAATGGAATTGAATGGAGTGGAGTGGAATGGAGTGGAGTGGAAAGGAGTGTACATGAGTGGAATGGAATTGAATGGAGTGTAGTGGTGTGGAATTGAGTGGATTGGAATGGAGTGGAGTGGAAAGGAGTGGGATGAAATTGAATGGAATGTTGTGGAATGGAGAGGAACGAAGTGCAATGGAGTGGAATGGAATGGAGTGGAATGGTAAAGAATGGATTGGAATGAAGTGGAAAGGAGTGCAATGGCTCGGATTTGAGTGGAGTGGAATGGAGTGAAATTGAGTGGTATGGAATGCAATGGAGTGTAATGGCGTGGAAAGTAGTGGAGTGCTGTGAAATGGAATGGACTACAGTGGATTGGATTGGACTGGAATGGAAAGGAAAGTACTGGAATGGAAGGGAATGGAGACGAGTGGAGTGGAGTGGAGTGGAGTGGAAAGGAGTGAAGTGGAATTGTGACCAGTGGATTGGAATGGAGTGGAGTGTAAAGGAATGGAATGGAATGGAATGGAGTGGGGTGGGGTGGAGTGGAGTATTGTGGAGTGGAGTAGAAGGGAATGGTGTGGAAAGGACAGGAATGAAGTGGAATGGAATAGAGTGGAGTGGAGTGGAGTGGACAGGAATGGAATGGAGTAAAGCAGAGTAGAATGGAATGAAATGGAATGGAGTGGAGTGGAATGGAATGCAATGGAAAGGAGTGGAATGGAGTGGCATGGAATGGAATGCAATGGAGTGGAGTGGAAAGGAATAGAGTGGAATATAGGGGACTGGAGTGGAATGGAGTGGTGTGGAATGGAATGGGGTGGAGTTGAATAGAGGGAATTGGAGTGGAGAGGAAGGCTGTGGAATAGAATGTGGTGGAGTGGAGTGGAGTGGAATGGAGTCGACTGGAATGCAGTGGAGAGCAATGGATTGGAGAGGAAAGGAGTGAAATGGAATGGTGTGGAGTGTAGTGGAGTGGAATGGAATGGATTTTAGTGGAATGGAGTGGAAAGAAATGGACAGGAGTGACATGGAATAGAATGCAATGCTGTGGAATGGAATGGAATGGAATGGAGGGAAAGGAATGGAGTGGAATGGAGTGGAGTGGAGTGGAATAAAATGGAGTGGAGTGGAATGGAATGCAACGGAGTGGCATAGAGTGTAGTGGAGTGGATTGGAACGGAGTGGAATGGAAAGCAATGAAGTGTAACGGAGTGGAATGGAGTTGAGTGGAGTGGAATGGAATATACTGGATTGGAGTGGTGTTGAATGGAATGGAGTGGAATTCAGTGGAATGGAGTGGAATGGACTGGAGTGAAGTGAAGTTGAGTGGAGTAGAGTGTAGTGGAATGGAATGGAGTGCTATGGAATGGAATGGAAAGGAATGGAATGGAATCGAATGGAATGGTATGCAGTGGAGTGGAATGGAATGGAGTGGAGTGGAGTGGAATGGACTTTACTGTAGTGGAATGGATAGGGGTGGAATCCAATGTAGTGGAATGCAATGGAATAGAGTGGAGTAGAATGGAATGGAGGAGACTGTAATGGAGTAGAGTGTAATGGAATAAAATGGAGTGGAGTGGAATGGAGTGAATTGGAATGGATTGGAGTGAAGTAGAATGGAGTAGAGTGGAATGGAGTGGAATGGAATGGAGTGGAGTGGAGTGGAATGGAGTGGAGTGGAGTGGAGTGAAATGTAGTGGACTGGAATATAGTGGAAAGAAGTGGAGTGGAATGGTTTGGAGTGGAGTGGAATGGAATGGAGTGGAAAGGAATGGAATGGAGTGGGGTGGAATGGAGTCGACTGCAATGGAGTGGAATGGAGTAGAATGGAGTGGAATGGTATTGAATGTATTGGAATGGAATGCAATGGAATGGAGTGGAATGGAGTGGTTTCGAGTGGAATGGAATGGAGTGGAATGGGATTGAATGTATTGTAATGGAATGAAATGGAGTGGAAAGGAGTGGTTTGGAATGGAATGGAAAGGAGTGGAATGGAACGGAATGGAGTGGAATGGGATTGAATGTATTGTAATGGAATGAAATGGAGTGGAAAGGAGTGGTTTGGAATGGAATGGAAAGGAGTGGAATGGAACGGAATGGAATGGAATGGAATGTAGTGGAATGGAATGGAATGGAGTGGCGTGGAGTGGAATAAAAAGGTGTGGAATGCAATGGAATGGAAAGGAGTGGAATGGAATAGAGTGGAGGGGAATGGAGTGGAATGGTATTGAATGTAATGGAATGGAATGGAATGGAATGGATTGGAGTTGATTGTAATGGAATTTAGTGGAGTATAATGGAATGGAGTGGAATCGAAAGGAATGCAATGCAAAGGAGTGGAATGCAATGGAATAGAAAGGACTAGAATGAACTGGAGTGGAATGGAATGGAATGGAATGGAATGGATACGAATCGAGTGAAATAGAAAGGAATTTAGCACAGAGGAGTTGACGGGAATGGAATGAAAGGAAATGGAACGAAATGGAATGCAATGTAATGTAATGTCATGGAATTGAATGGAATGGAGGGGAACGGAATGGAGTGGAATGGAGTGGAATGGAATGGAGTGGAGTGGAATAAAATCGAGTGGAGTGGAATGGAATGGAATGGAGTGGAATGCAATGAATTGGAGTGGAGTTGGGAGGACTGAAGTGGGGTGGAGTGGAATGGAGTGGAATGTAAAGGAATGGAGTGGAATGTAATGGAGAGGAGTGGAGTGGAGTAGAGTGGTGTGGAGTGGGGTGGAATGGAGTGGAGTGCAAAGGAAAGGAATGGAATGGAATGGAGAGTAGTGGAGTGCAGTAGAGTGGAGTGGAGAGGCTTGGAGTGGCGTGGAATGGAATGGTGTGGAAATGAGTGGAATGGAGTACTGTGGAATGGAATGGAGTGTGTTGCAGTGGATTGGAGTGGAATGCAATGTAATGGAGTAGAATGGAGTGGAATGGAATGTAATGGAATGGACTCTAGTGCAGTGGAATGGAATAGAATGGAGTGGAACGGAGTGGCAAGGAATTTAATGGAATGGAGTGGAGTGGAATGGAGTGGAGTAAAATGGAGTGGAGTCGAGTGGAATAGAGTAGATTGGAATGGAATGGAATGGAGTGGAGTGGAACGGACCGGTATGGTATGGAATGGAATGGAATGGAAAGGAGTGGAATGGATTGGACTGTATTGGAATGGAAAGGAGTGCAGCGGAATGGAATGAAGTGGCATGGATTTTAGTGGAGAGGAATGGTGAGGAGAGGAATCGAAATGAGTGGAATGGATTGGAATGCAGTGGAGTGGAAAGGAATGGCATGGACCGGAATGGAATGGAATTGATTGGAATGGATGAAGTGGAGTGTAATGGAGAGGAGTGGAAAGGACTGAATTGGAGTGGAATGGAGTGGAGTCGAATGGAATGGAATGGAGTGGAGTGGAATGGAATGGAGTGCAGGGGAATGGAAGTAGGTGGAATGCAAGAAAGGAATGGAGCGGAGTGGAATGGAGTGGAGTGGAATGGAGTGGAGTGGAATGGAATGGAGTAGAATGGAATGGAATAGAGTAGGATGGATTGGAGTGGAATGGAATGGAATGGAGTGACATGCAATGGAATGGAGTGGAGGGGACTGGAATGGAGTGGAGTGGAATGGAATGGATTGAAGTGGAATGGAATGGAGTGGAATTGAATGGAATGTAATGTAATGGAATGGAGAGGCATAGAATACAGTGGAACGGAATGGAATCGAATGAAGTGAAAGTGGAATTGAGTGGAGTGGAACGGAGTGTAGGGAAGTTGAATGGAATGGAATGGAATGGAAAGGAGTGTAATGGAATGAAATGGATAGGAATTGAATGGTGTGGAGTGGAATAAAATGGAGTGGAAAATAATGGAGTGTAATGGAATGGAGTGGAGTGGAATGGAATGGAATGGAGTTAAAAGGAATTTGTAGTTGAATGGAATGGAATGAAATGGAATGCAGTAGAGTGTAGTGTAGTGGAATGGATTGGAGTGTAATGGAATGGAATTGAATGGAATGGAGTGGAATGGAGTGGAATGGAGTGGAGTTGAGTGGAATGGAAGGGAATGGAATGAAGAGGAGGGGATTGGAGTTGAGTGGAATGTAGTGGAGTGGAATGGAGTGGAATTGAAAGGAGTGAGGGGAAATGGAATTGAATGGAGAGGATTGGAGTGGAAATGAATGGAATGGAATGGAGTGAAATGGAATTCAATGAAGTGGAGTTGAGTGGAGTGTAGTGGAGTGAAATTGAGCGGAATGGAATGCAATGGAGTGAATGGAGCGGAAAAGAGTGGAATGGTGTGAAATGGAATGGAGTAGAGTGGAATGGAATATACTGGAATGGAAAGGAATATACTAGAATAGAATGGAATGAAATGGAGAGGAGTGGAGTCGACTGGAATGGAGTGAAGTGGAACGGAGAGCACTGGATTGGAATGGAATTTAGAGAAAAAGGAATGGAATGGAAAGGAATGGAATTGAATTGACTGGAGTGAGGTGGAGTAGAGCCGAGTGATGTGGACTGGAGTGGAAAGGAAAGGTGTGGAATGGAGTGGAATGGAGAGGAGTGAAATGGAATGGAGAGGATTGGAGTGGAATGGAGTGGAATGCAATGTAATGGAGTAGAACAGAGAGGCATGGAATGAAATGGAATGGAGTGTAATGGAGTGGAATGGAATGGAATGGAAAGGAATGTAATGGAGTGGAGTGGAATGGATTTGATTGGAGTCGAATGGAATGGAATGGAATGCAGTGGAATGGATTGCAATAGAGTGGAGTGGAGTGGAATGGAATGGATTGGAGTGGAATGGAATGGGGTGCAGTGGAATGGAGGGGAGTGGAATGGAATGGAGTTGAATAGAATGGAGTGGAGTGAAGTCGACTGGAGTGGAATGGAATAGAATGTAATGCTATGGAATGGAATGGAATAGAGGGGAAATGAATGGAGAGGAATGGAGTGAATGCAATGGAATAGAGTGGTAAAAAGTGCACTGGAGTGGAATGGAAAGCAACGGAGTGGAGTAGAGTAGAGTGGAATCGATTGGAATGGATTGGAATGGAATGGAAGGAAGTGTAACGGAGTGGAATGGAGTGGAGTGGAGTGTAATGGAATGGACTTGAGTGTACTGGAGTGGATTGGAATGGAGTGGATTGGAGTGGAGTGGAGTGGAATGAAATGGAGTGGAGTGGAATTGAGTGGGGTAGAGTGTCATGTAATGTAATGAAGTGTTATGGAATGGAATGGAATAGAATGGAGTGGAATGGAATGGAATGTAGTGGAGAGGAATGGAATTTAGTGGAGTGGAATGTAGAGGAATGGAATCAACTGTAGTGGAATGGAAAGAAAGAGTGATGTCTAATGCAATAGAGTGGTGTTTAATGGAATGGAATTGATTGCAATGGAATGTAGTGGAATGGCATGAAATAAAGTGGATTGGAATGGAGTGGATTGGACTGGAGTGGAGTGCAATGGATTGGAGTGGACTGGAGTGAAGTGGAATGGAGTGGTATGTAGCAGAAAGGAGCGGAGTGAAATTGTGTGGAGTGGAATGGAATGGAATGCAGTGGAAAGGAATGGAATGGAATGGTGTGGAGTGGATAGGAGTCGAGTGAAATCGATTGGGGTGTAGTAGGATGAAGTGGAATGGAATGGAATGTATTGAAATGGAATGCAATGGAATGGAAAGACGTGTAACGAGTGGAATGGAATGGAATGGAATGGAATAGAACGGAATGGAGATGAATGAATGGAATGGGGTGGAGTGTATTATAAAGGGGTGGAGTGGAAAGGAGTGGAATGGAATGGAGTGGAATGGAGTGGAGTGGAGGGGAATGGAGTGGAAAGGTGTCGCAAAGAATGGAATGGAATGCAATGGAATGGATTGGAGTAGAGTGTAATGGAATGGAGTGGAGAGGAATAGAATGGATTGGAATCGATAGGAATGCAATGGAATAGAGTGGAATGGAAATGAATGGAATGGAATGGAATGGAAAGAACTGCAGTGGAAAGGAATGGAATGGAATGGAATGCATTCGAATGGAATGAATTGGAAGGGAATTTAATGGAATGGAATGGAAAGGAATGGAATGAAATGGAATGGAATGGAATGGAATGGAATGGAATGGAATGGAATCGAAAGGAATCGAATGGAATGGTATTACATGGAATGGAATGGAATGGGGGGAATTGAATGGAGTGTAATAGAGTGTAATGGAATGTAGTGGAGTGGAATGAAATGGAGTGTACTGGAATAGAATGCAATGGAGAAATACAGAAAGAAGTGGAGTGGAGTGGGGTGGATTCAAGTCTGTTGGAGTGGAATGGAGTGGAATGGAACGGAATGGAGTGGAGTGGTGTGGAGTGGAGTGGTGAAGAGTGGTGTGGAATGGGTGGAATGGAGTGTAGTGGAATGGAATAGAATGGAATTGGATGGAGAGGATTGGAGTGGAGTGGAGTGGAGTGGTGTGAAGTGGCATGGAATGGAATCAGTAGAATGGAGTGGAAAGGAGTGAAAATGAACGGAGTTTAGTGGAGTGGAATGTAATAGAATGGAGTGGAATAGAGTGGCATGGAAAGGAATGGAATGGAGTCAAGTGGAATTTAGTAGAGAGAAATGGATTGGAGTGGAATAGAGTTGATTGGAATGGAATGAAGTGGAGTGGAGTGGAATGGATTGTTATGGAATGGAATGGAATGGAATGGAATGGAATGTATAGGAATGGAAACGAGTGGAGTGGAAAGGAGTGGAGAGGAATGGAGTTTAGTGGAGAGAAATGGTGAGATAGGAATTGAATGGAG
Organism: Homo sapiens; assembly: GCF_000001405.40. Taxonomy (NCBI): domain Eukaryota; kingdom Metazoa; phylum Chordata; class Mammalia; order Primates; family Hominidae; genus Homo; species Homo sapiens. The sequence continues at coordinate 91,841 of NT_187391.1, forward strand.
CGGAATGGAATGGAATGGAGTGGAGTGGTATGGAATGTACTAGACTGGACTGGAATGGATTGAAATGGAGTGGAATGGAGTGGAGTGGAGTTGAATGGAATGGAGTGGAGTGGAACTGAGTGGAGTAGAGTGTAGTGGAATGGAATGGAGGGGTATGGAATGGAATGGATTGGAATGGAGTGTAGTGTAAAGGAATGGAGTGGAAGGGAAGGTAGTGAAGTGCAATGGAGTTTAGTGGAGTGGATTGGAGAGAAGTGGAATCAAATGAAGTGGAATGGAATGGAATAGATTGGACTGGAATGGAATGGAGTTGACTGGAATGGAATGCAGTCCAATAGAATGAAATGGACGGAGTGGAATAGAGTGGAGTTGAATGGATTGGAGTGGAGTGGAATTGAGTAGAATGGAATGGAGTGGAGTGGGGAGAAGTGAAAAGGAATGGAGTGGAATGTAGCAGAAAGGAGTGGAGTGGAACAGTGTGGAGTGGTGTAGAATGGAATGCAGTGGAAAGGAATGGAATGGCATGGAGTGGAGTGGAATGGAGTCGAGTGGAATGGAGTCACGAGGAGTAGAATGGAGTGGAAAGGAATGAAGTTTATTGGAATGGAATGGAAAGGAGTGGAATGGAGTGGAATGGAATGGAGAGTAGTGGATTGCATTGGAGTGTAAAGGAATGGTATGGAATGGAGGAGAGTGGAATGGAATTGAGTGGAGTGGAATGGAATGGAGTGGAGAGGAATGGAGTGGAATGGTATCAACTGGAACGCAATGGAATGGATTGGAGTGGATTGTAATGAAATGGAGTCTAGTGGAATGGAATGAAGTGGAATCGAATGGAATGCAATGGGATGGAGTGGAATGCAATGGAATGGAATGGAATAGAATGGAATGGAATGAAGTGGTGTGGAATGGAATGGAATGAAGTGGTGTGGAATGGAATGGAACGGAATGGAATGGATTGGAATGGAATGGAGTGGAATGGAATGGAATGGAATGGAATGGGATGGAATGGATGGAATGGAATGGAATGGAATAGAATGTATTGGAAACAAATTTAATGGAATTTAATGGAATGGAATGGAATGGAATGGAGTCCAATGAATTGGAGAGCAGTGGAGTGGAGTGGAGTGGAATGGAATGGAATGGAATGTAGTGGAGTGAAGTGGAGTGGAGTGGAGTGGTGTGGAGTGGAGCGCACGGGAAAGGTGTGAAATGGAGTGGAGTGGAATGAAGTTAAGTGGTTTGGAGTGGACTAGAGTGAAATGGAATGTAATGGATTAGAATGGAGTGGAATGTAATGTAATGGAATAGAGTGGAGTGGAATGGAATGGAATGGAGGGGAATGAAGTGGCATCAAATGGAATGGAATGGAGTGGAGTAGAATGTCGTGGATAGGAATGGAGTGGATTGGAGTGGAATGGAATGGAGTGGAATCGATTGCAATGGAATGGGGTGAAATGGAATGGAATCGAGAGGAATGGAGTGTAATGGAGTGGAGTGGAGGGGAATGGAATGGAGAGGAGTGGAAAGGAGTGGAATGGAATGGGATGGAATTGTGGGAAATGGAGGAGAATGGAGTTGAGTGATGTTTGACTGAATGGAGTGAAGTGGAATTTAATGGAATGTAATTGAGTGCATTGCAATGGAATGCAGTGGAGTGGAATGAAATGGAGAGGAATGGAATGAAATGGAGTGGAGGGGAATGGAATTGAGGGGAATGGAATGGAGTGGAGTGGGGTGGAGTGGAGTGGAAGTTAAAGGTGTGGATTGGAGTGTAAGGTAGAAGAGTGGAGTGGAGTGGTGTGGAGTGGACTGGAGTGGAATTGAATGTAATGGAGTACAATGGAGCGGAATGGAATGAAATGGAATGTAGTGGAGTGAAGTGGAATGCAATGGAATGGAGTGGAATGGAGTGGCATCAAATGTAATGGAATACATGGGGTAGAATGGAGTGGAGTGGAATGGAGTGGAGTGGAATGCAGTGGAATGGAATAGAATGTACTGAAGTGGAGTGGAATGGAGTGGAGGGGAATGCAGTGGAGTGCTTTGGAATAGAAAGGGGAGGAGAGGAGGGGAGTGGAATGGAGTGGATTAGAATGGAGTGCAGTGCATTGGAAGGGGTGAAATGGAATGGAATAGAGTGGAATGGATTGTAAAGGAGTGGAGTGGAGGAGAATTGAATGGAGTGGAGTGGAAAGGAATGGAATGGAATGTGGTGGAATGAAATGGAATGCAAAGGAATGGAAGTAGAAGGAGTGTAGAGGAGTGGGTGGTGAGGAGTGGAGGGGAATTTAATGAAGTGGAATGAATAGTGGGATTGTATGCAGTTGAGTGGAATGGAATGGAGTTGAATGGAATGGCATGGAATGAAGTGGAGTGGAATGGATTGGAGTGGAATTTGGAAGAGTGGATTCGAATGCAATGGAACGGAATGGAATGCAATGAAATGGAATGGAAAGGAATGAAATGGAATGGAAAGGAATGAAATGGAATGGAGTGGAATGAAATGGAGTGGAGTGGCATAAATAGGAGTGGGGTGGAATGGAATTGAGTTGAACATAATGGAATGGAGTGGACTGGAGGGGAGTGAAGCTGGATGGAGTGGAATGGAGTGGAATAGAATGGAATTGAGGGTAATGGAGTAGAATGCAGTTGAGTGGCATGGAATGGAATAGAGTGAAGTGGAATTTAATGGAATGGAATGCAGTGCACTGGAATGGAATGCAGTGGAGTGAAATAAAATGGAGCGGAATGGAATGGAATGGAATGGAGGGCAGTGTAGTGGAATGGAGTGGAATGGAATGGAGTGGCGTGGAATGGAATGGGGTGGAGTGGAGTGGAGTGGATTGGAAAGGAGTGGAGTGGAACGGAGTGTATTGGAGTGGAATGGAGTGGAGTGGATTGGAATGGATTGGAGACGAATGGAATGACAATGAGTGGTATGGAATGGAATAGCATGGAGTGGAGAGGAATGGAATGGAGTGAAGTGGAGTGGATTTGAGAGGCGAGGAGTGGAAGGGAATGGAGTGAAGTGGAGTGGAATGGAGTGGAGTGCAAGGGAAGGGGTGAAATGGAATTGAATCGAGTGGAATGGAATGTAATGGAGTGGATTGGAGGAGAATGGAATGGAGTGGATTGGAAAGGAACGAAATGGAATGGAGTGGAATGAAAAGGAATGGAATGGATTGGAAGAAAAAGGAGTGTAGCGGATTGGAGTGGAGTGGAGGGGAATTTAATGAAGTGGAATGAATAGCAGTGGGATTGTATGGATTGGAGTGGAATGGAATGGAGTTGAATGGAAAGGCATGGAATGGAGTGGAGTGGAATGGAGAAGAGTAGATCAGAATGGAATGGAATGGAATGAAACGGAGTGGAATGGAATGGAGTGGAAGGGAGTGGAATGAAATGGAGTGGAGTAGAATAAACAGGAGAGGAGTAGAATGGAATGGAGTGCAGTAGAATGGAGAGGAGTGGAGTGGAATACAGTGGAGAGGAAAGTAGAGGAATGGAATAGAGTGGAGAGAATTGAATGGAATGGAGTGTACTGGAATGGAATGCAGTGGAATGGAATGGAACTGAATGGAATGGAATGGAACAGAATAGAGTGGAGTGGAGTGGAGTGCAGTGGAGTAGGAAGGAGTGAAGTGGAGTGAGGTGGAAAGGAGAACAGTGGAATAAAAAGAGGTGGAGTGGATTGGAATGGCGTGGAATGGAATGGAATCGAATGAAGTGGATTGGAAGGGAGTGGAGTGGAATGGAACTTAGTGAAGTGGAATGGAATTCAATGGAATGGAATGGAATGGAATGGAAAGGAGTGGAATGGAAAGGAATGGAGTGGAATGGAATGGAGTCAAGTGGAATCGAATAGAATTCAATGGAATGGAATGGAGTGGAATGGAATGTCATGGAGGGAATCAAATGGAGTGGAGTGGAATAAAATGGAGCGAAATGGAATGGAATGGAATGTAGTGGAATGGAATGGAATGGAGTGGAGTGGAATGCAATGGAACGGGATGGAAAGAAATTGAATAGAGTGGAATGGAATTGAATGGAATGGAATGGAAAAGAATGGACTGGAGAGGAATTGAGTGGAGTGGCACGGAATTTAATAGAATAGAGGGAAGTGGAATAGAGTGGAATGGAATGGAGTGGTCTGGAGTGCAATGGAGTTGAGTGGGTTAAAACTGAGTGGAGTGGATTGGAATGGAGTGCCATGGAATATAGTGGTGTGGAATGGAATGAATGGATTGTAGTGGAGTGGAACGGAGTGGAGTGGAGTAGAGTGGAATGGAGTAGAGTGGAATGGCATGTTGTGGAGAGGAATGGAATCGAGTGGAGTGGAATGGAATGGAGTGGAGTTGAATGGATTGGAGAGGAATGGAGTGGATTGGAGTGGAATGAAAACGAGTGGATTACAGTGGAATGGAGTGGAGTGGAGTAGAGTGATGTGTAATGGAATGGAACAGAGTGGAGTGGAGAAGAGTGGTGTGGAATGGAATGGAAAGGCATTAAGTGGAATGGAGTGGAATGGAATGGAGTGGAATGGAATGGATTGGAATAGAGTGGAATAAAACAGAATATAGTGGATGGCAGTGGAAGGGAATTGAGTGGAGTGGAATGGAATGGAGTGGAATGGAATGGAATGGAATGCAGTGGAAATTTGGGGAGAGGAATGGATTGGAATGGAGTGTAGTGGGGTGAAATGCAATGGAAAGGAATGGAGTAGAATGGAATGGAATGGAGTTGGATAGAATGTAGTGGACTGCAGTGGAGGTGAATGGAGTGGAGTGGAATGGATTGGAGTGAGTGTAGTGGAGTAGATGTGAGTGGAGTGGTATTAAGTGGATTAGAATGGAGTGGAGAGGAATGGAATGGAGTTGAAGGGAATAGAATGGAGAGGAATGGAGTGGATTGGAAGGGAGTGGAGAAGAGTATATTGGAATGGAATGGAGTGGGTTGGAATGCAATGCAAAGGAAAGGAATTTAATGGAATGGAATGGGATAAAATGCAGTGGGCTTGAATGGAGAGGAGTGGAATGGAGTAGAGTAGAGTGGAATGGAATGGAGTGGAAAGGAATGGATTGGAATGTAGTGGAATGGAATGGACTGGGCTGCAGTTGAATGGAAGGGATTGGATTGGAATGGAATGGAATGGAGTGGAGTGGAATGGAATGGAATGGATTGGAATGGAATGGAGTGGAGTGGAATGGAATTGAGTGGAGTGGAGTGGAATGGAATGCTGTGGTATAGAGAGATGTGGAGTGGAATGGAATGGAGTGGAGTGGAGAGGAGCGGAGTGGAATGGAATGGAATGGAGTGGAATGGAAACGAGTGGACTGGAGTGGAATGGAGTAGAGAGGTGTGGAAATGATTGGGATAGAGTGGAGTGGAGAAGAGTGGTGTGGAATGGAATGGAATGGAATGGAGTGGAGTGGAATAGAGTGGTTTGGAATGGAGAGGACTGGAATGGACTGGAATGGAACGGAGTGGAATAAGTTGGAATGGAGTGGAGTGGAGTGGAATGGAATGGAATGCAGTGGAAGGGAATGTAATGGCATGGAGTGGAGAGGAATGAACTAGAGTGGAGGTGATAGGAGTGGAGTGGAATGGAGTGAGTTGGAATGGAGTGGAGTGGAATGGAATGGAGTTGAATGGAATGGAATGGAGAGGAATGGAGTGGAGTGGAATGGAATGCAGAGGAGTGGATTGAAATGGAATGGAGTGGGATGGAATGGAATGGAAAGGAATGGAGTGGAACGGAATGGAATAAAACGCAGCGGAGTTGAATGGAGTTGAGTGCACTAGAGGGAAGTGGAGGGGAGTGGAATGGAATGGCATGGAGTCGAATGGAGTGGAATGGATTGGAATGTAGTGGAATGGAGTGGAATGGAATGGAATAAAATGTAATGGATTAGAATGGAGTGGAATGGAATGGAGTGCGGTGCAATGAATAGAGTGGTGTGGAATGGAATGAATGGGGTGGAATGGAATGGAGTACAGTTGAATGGAGGCTAGTGGAGTGGAAGGGAGAGGAGTGGAATGGAGTGGAGTGTTGTGGAATGGAATGGTGTGGAATGGAACGGAGTGGATTGTAGAGGAAAGAATAGAGTGGAGAGGAATGGGATGTAATGGAGTGGAATGGAGTGGGGTAGACGGGAAGGGAAAAGAATGGATTGGAATGGAGTGGATTCGAGTGGAATGTAAAGGAATGGAGTGGAGAGGAATTGAATGGAGTGGAGTGGAATAAAACGCAGTGCAGTGGAATGGAATGAAATGGAGTGGAATTAAGTAGATTTTAGTGGAATTGAGTGCAGTGGAATGGAATGGAACGGAATTGACTGGATTGGAGTGTAGTGAAATGGAATGGAATGGAATGGAATGGAATGGAATGGAATGGAGTGGAATGGAGTGGAATGGAGTGGAATTAAGTGTAGTGGAATGGAGTGGAGTATAGTCCAATGGAATGGTAAGGAAGGGAATGTATTGGAATGGAGTGAAATGGAAAGGAATGTAATGTAGTGGGGTGGAATAAACTGGAGTATCGGGGAATGGAGCGTAGTGGAATGGAATGGAACAGAATTGAGTGGAATGGAACGGAATGTAGTGGAATGGAAAGGAAGGGGATGGAATGGAATGGAATGCAATGGAAGAGTGGAATGGATTGACATATAGTGGAATGGAGTGGATTGGAGTGGAATGTAAAGGAATGGAAAGGAGAGGAATTGAATGGAGTGGAGTAGAATATAATGTAGTGCAGTGGAATGGAATGGAATGGAGTGGAATGCAGTGGAGTGGAGTGGAATGCAGTGGAGTGGAGTGAGTTGGAATAGAGTGGAGAGGAATAGAGTAGAGTGAAGTTCAATGGAGTAGAGTGGAGTGGAATGGAGTGGAATGTAATAGGGTGGAGTGGTGTGCAATGGAATGGCATGGAGTGGACTGGAATGGAGTGGATTTGAATTGAATGGATTGGAGTGGAATGGAATGGAGTGCAGTAGAATGGAATGGAATGCAATATAATGGAATGGAATTGAAAGGAATGGAATGGAGTGGAATGGAATGGAATGGAGTAGAATGGAATGGAATGGAGTGGAGAGGAATGCAATGGAATGGAGTGGAATGGAGTGGAATGGAGTGTAATGGAGTGTAATGGAGTGTAATGGAGTGGAGTGGAGAGGAATGGAATGCAGTGGAATAGAATGGAGGGGAGAGGAGTGGAGTGTAGTGCAGAGGAGAGGAGTGGAGTGTAGTGCAGAGGAGAGGAGTGGAGTGGAATGGAATAGAATGGAATGGAATGGAGTGGAGTGGATTGGAGTGGAGTGGAGTGGAATGAAATGGAATGGAATGGAATGGAAAGGAATGGAATGGAGTTGAATGGATTGGAATGGAGTGAATTGAGTGTAGTGGAATGGAATGGGGTAGAGTGGTATGGAGTGGAATAGAGTGGGATGGAATACTATGGAGGGGAAAGGAGTGGGATGGAATGAAATGGAGTGTAATGTAATGTAATAGATAAAAATAAACTGGAGTGCGGTGGCATTGAAAGGAATGGAGTGGAATGGAAAGGAATGGAGTGGAATGGAATGGAGTGGAATGGAATGGAGTGGAATGGAAGAGTGGAATGGAATTGAATAGAATGGAGTGGAATGGAATGGAGTGGAGTGGAATAAAATGGAGTGCAGTGGAATGGAATGGTATGGTGTGGAATGGAATGGAGTGTAGTGGAATGCATTGGAGTGGACTGGAGTGGAATGGAGTGGAGTGGAATGGAGTGTAGTCGAGTTGAGGGTAATGGAATGGAATAGAATGTCGAGCAGTGAAATGGAATGAAGAGGAGTGGAATGTAATGGAGTATAACTGTATGGATCGGAATGAAGTGGATTGGAATGCAGTGGAGTGGAACGTAGTGGGGAGGAGTGGAATGGAAAGGAATGGAATGGAAAGGAATGGAATTGAGCAGTGTGGAATGGAGTGGAGTGGATTGGAATGAAATGGAATGGAATGGAGTGGAGTGGAGTGTAATAGAATGGAATGGAGTGGAATGGAATGGTGAGGAGTTGAATATAGTAGAGTGGAGAGGAATGGAAAAGAGTGGAGTGAAATAGAGTGGAATGGAATGGAGTGGAGTTGTACGGAGTGGAATGGCATGGAATGGAGTGGAAAGGAGTGGAGTGGAATTGAATGGAATTGAGCGGAATGGATTGGACTGGAATGTAATGGAATTCAATGAAGAATGGAATGGAATGGAATGGAGTGGAATAAAGTGGAATGGAGTGGACTGGAGTGGAATGAAATTGAGTGGAGTGGAACGGAATGGAATTGAGTGGAGTGGAACGGAATGGAATTGAGTGGAGTGGAATGGAATGGAATTGAAAGCAGTGGAAAGATGTGGAGAAGATTGCATTGGAATGGAGTGTACTGGGGTGGAATGGAATGGAAACGAATGGAGTAGAATGGAGCGGATTGCAGTTGGATAGAATGCAGTGGACTGGAGTGGAGGTGATTGGAGTGGAGTGGAATGGAATGGAGTGAGTGGAATGGAGTAGACGGGAGAGGAGTGTAATTAAGTGGATTAAAATCGAGTGGAGTAGAATGGAATGGAGTTGAAGGGAATGGAATGGAGAGGAATGAAACGGAGTGGAAGGGAGGGGAGAGAAGTGGACTGGAATGGAATGGAGTGGGTTGGAATGGAATGCAAAGGAACGGAGTGGAATAGAATGGGATAAAATGGAGTGGATTTGAAAGGAGTGGAGTGGAATGAAGTAGAGTGGAGTGGAATGGAATGGAAAGGAATGGATAGGATTGGAGTAGAATGAAATGGATTGGTATGGAGTACAATTGAATGGAGTGGGTTGGAATGTAATAAACTAGAGTGGAATGGAATGGACTATGCTGGAGTGGAATGGAGTGGACTGGAGTGGAATGGAATGGGATGGTTTGAAGTGCAATGGAATGGATTGGAATAGAATGGAGTGGAGTGGAATGGAATCGTGTGGAGTGGATTAGAATGGAATGCTCTGGTATAGAGTGGTATGGAATGGAATGGAATGGAGTGGGGTGGAGTGGAATGGAGTGGAGTGGAATGGAAAGGAGTGGAGTGGAAAGGAAACGAGTGAAGTGGAGCGGAATGGAGTGGAATGGAGTAGAGTGGTGTGGAAAGGATTGGAATAAAGAGGAGTGGAGTAGAGTGGTGTGGAATGGAATGGAATGGAATGGAGTGGAGTAGAATGGAATGGATTGGAATGGGGTGCAATGGAATGGAATGGAGTAGAGTGGAATGGAATGCAGAGGAGAGGAATGGAATGGAATCGAGTAGAATGGAGTGGAATGGAGTGTAATGGAGTGGAATGGAGTGGAACGAAACGTAATGGAGTGGGAAGGAATGGAGAGGAGAGGAGAGGAGTGGAGTGGAGTGGAGTGCAATGGAATATAATTTAATGGAATGGAAAGAAATTGAATGGAGTGGAAAGGAGTGGAATTTAGGAGTGGAATGGAATGGAGTGGAGTGGAATGGAGTGGAGTGGGGTGGAATTGAATGGTATGGAGGGGAATAGAGTGGAATGGAATGAAATGAAGTGGACTGTAGTCTAGTGGAGTGGAATAAATTTGAGTGCAGTGGAAGGGAATGGAATGGAGTGGAATGGAACGGAATGGAATGGAAATGGAATGAAATTTAATGGAATGGAATGGAATGGAATGGAATGGAATGGAATGGAATGGAATGGAATGTAAGTGTGGAATGGGATTGAGTGTAATGGAGTGGAATGGAATGGAGTGGGGTGGAATAAAATGGAGTGCAGAGCAGTGAAATGGAATGGAGTGGAATGGATTGGAGAGGAATGGAATGCAGTGGAGTGGAGGGGAGTGGAATGGAGTGGAGTGGAACGGAGGGTAGTGGAGTTGAGTGGAATGGAGTGGAGTGAACAGAGTGCAATGGAGTTGAGTGTAATGGAATGGAGTGGAATGGCGAGCACTGTAATGGAATGAAGTGAAGTGGAATGTAATGGAGTAGAACTGAATGGAAAGGAATGAAGTGGATTGGAATGGAGTGGAATTGAATGTAGTGGAGAGGAGTGGACCAGAATGGAATAAAACGGAATTGAATGGAATGGAATGAAATGGAATAGAATGCAAAGGAAAGGAGTGGAATGGAATGGAGTGGAGTGGAATGAAAAGGAATAGAATGGAGTGGAGTGGAATGGAATGGATTGGAATGGAACGAAATGGAATTGAATGAAATGGAATGGAATGGAATGGAATGAAATGGAATGTAATGGAGTGTAATGGAATGGTGTAGAGTGGAATGGTGTGGACTGGAGTGGATTAGATTGGAGTGGAGTGTAAAGGAGTGGAATGGAAAGGAGTGGAGTTCTATGGAGAAAAATGGCTTGGAATGGAGTGGAAAGGTTTGGAGTGGAATTGAATGGACTGCAGTGGAATGGAATGGAATGGACTGCAATGCAATGGAATTCAATGAAATTGAATGGAATGCAAGGGAATGGAGTGGAGTTGAGTGGAGGGTAATGCAGTGGAATGGAATGGAATGGAGTGGAGTGGAAAGGCACGGAGTGGAATGGAGTTGAGAGGAGAGAAGAGGAATGGAATGGAATGGAATGGAAAGGAATGGAATGGAATGGAATGGATTGAAATGTAATGGAAAGAATGGAATGGAATGGATTGAAATGGAACAGAATGCAGTGGAATGGAACGTAATCGAGTGGAAAGTAAAGGAATGGAATGGAATGGTGTGGAACGGAATGGAATGGAGTGGAGTGGAATGGAGTGGAGTGTCATGGAATGGAATGGATTGGAATGGTCTGGAGTGGAATGGAGTGGAGTTTAGTGGAATGGAATGTATTGGAGTGGAATGGAATGAAGAGGAGTGGAGGGGAATGCAGTGGAGTGGAATGGAGTTGAATGGAATTTATTGGAACGGAATGAAAAGGAATGAAGTGGATTGGAGTGGAGTGGAATGGAATGGAATAGAATGGAAAGGAATGGAATAGAGTGGAAAGGAGAGGAGTTGAGTGGATTTGAGAGGAGTGGAATGGAATGGAGTTGAGTGGAATTTAGTGGAGTGGAATTTAAGGGAATGGAATGGAGAGGAATGGAGTGGAATGGAATGGAATGGAGAGTAATGGAATGGAGAGGAGTTGAGTGGAGTGCAGTGCAGTGGAGTGGAATACAATGGAAAGAATTGGATCGGAATGGAATGGAATGCAATTGAATGCAATGGAATGGAATGGAGTGGAGTGGAGTGGAATGGAATGGAACGCAATGGAGTGGAAAGGAATGGAATGGAGTGGAAAGGAATGGAATGGAGTGGAGTGGAATGGAATGGAGTGGAGTGGAATGGAACGGAATGGAGTGGACTGGAATGGAATGGAATGGAATGGAACGGAAGGGAGTGGAAGGGAATGGAGTGGAATGGAATGCAATGGAGTAGAGTGGATTGTAATGGTGTGGAATGGAGTGGATTGTAATGGAATGGAGAGGACCGAAAAGGAATGGAAAAGAATGGAGTGTAATTGAATGGAAGGGAAAGGAGTGAATTTGAATGGATTGGAGTGGACTGGAGTGGAGTGGAGTGGAATGGAATTTAATGGAATGGAAAGGAATGGAATGGAATAGAATGGAATGCAATGGAGTGGAATGAAATGGAATTTACAGGAGTGGAATAGAATGGAGTGTCATGGAATGAAATGGACTGGAGTGGAATGGAATGGAATGGAGTGGAGTGGAATGGAATGGAGTGGATTTTAATGGAGTGGAATGGAGTGGATAGGAGTTGAGTGGAATGGAATGGAGTGGAGTTGAGTAGAATGGAATGGAATTGATTGGAAAGGAATGGAATGGAGTGGAATGGAATGGAGTAGAGTGGAATGGAGGGGAGTGGAGTGTAGTGGAATGGAATGAATGGAGAGGATTAGAGTTGAGTGGAAGCAAGTGGAAATGAATGGAGTAAAAGGGAATGGATAGGAATGGATTGGAATAGAAAGGAAAGGAGTGAATTGCAATGGAATGGAGTGGAATGTAATTGAATGGAATGGAATGGAGTGAAATGTAATGGAGTGGAATAGATTGGAATGCAATGGAGTGGAGAGGAGTGGAATGAAATGGAGTGGAATGGAGTGGAGTGGAGTGGAGCCGAATGGAGTGGAGCCGAATGGAGTGGATTGGAGTGGAATGGTGTGGAGTGGAATGGCCTGGAATGGAATGGAGTGGAATGGACTGAATTGCAATGGAGTGGAATGCAGTGGAAAGGAGTGGAGAGGAATGGAATGAAGTGGAGTGGAATGTAATGGACTGGAAAGAAATGGAATGGAAGGGAATGAAGTAGAGTGGATGGAGAGTTGTGTAGTGGAATGGAATGGAATGGAATAAAGAGCAAAGGAATGGAAAGGAATTGAGTGGAGTAGAATGCAGTGGAGTGGAATGGAGTGTAGTGGAGTAGAATATAATGGAATGGAATGGAGTGGTGTGAAATGGAATGGAGTGGAGAGGAATGGAGTGGAGTGGAATGGAATGGAGAGCAATTGAATTGAATGGAATGGAATGGAGTGAATTGGAATGGAATGGAATGGAATGGAATGTAGTGAAGTGCAATGGAATGCAGTGTAGTGGAATGGAATTCAGTGGAGTGGAGTGTAGTTGAGTGGAGCGGAATGGAGTGGAATGCAATGGATTGGAATGCAGTTGAATGATATGGAGTGGAATGGCGTGGAATGGAATGGAATGGAGTAGATTGGAATGGTATGAAACTTCGTGGAGTGGAATGGAATGGAATGGAATGGAGTAGTGTTGAATGGATTGGAGTTGAGTGTAGTTTAGTGGAATGGAGTGGAGTGGAATGCAATGGAATGGAATGGAATGGAATGAAAGGAAGAGAAATTCAGTGGAGTGGAGTGTAATGGAGAGGAGTGGAATGGAATGGAGTGGAATGGAAAGGAAGAGAGTGGAGTGCAATAGGGTTGAGAGGTTTGGAATGAAATGGGAGTGGAATGGAATGGAGTGGTGTGGAATGGTTTGCAGTGGAGTCGTGTTGAATGGAGTGGAGTTGAATGGAGCAGACTGGAGTTGAATGGAGTGTAATGGAATGGAGTGGAATGAAAAGGAATGGAATGGAGTGTATTAGAATGTAGTGGAGTAGAGTGGAATGCAGTGTAGTGGAATGGAATGGTGTGGAATGGAATGGAATGGGCTGGATTGAGTGGAATGGAGTGTAGTGGAGTAGAATGATTGTAGTGAAGTGGAATGGAATTTAAGGGAATGGCGCGGAAAGGAAAGGAATGGAAAAGAATGGAATAAAATGGAAAGAACTGTAATTCAGGGGAGTGGAGTGGACTGGAGTGGAATGGAATGGAGTGCATTGGAGGGGAGTGGAATGGAATGGAGTGCAATGGAATGGAATGGAGTGGAAAGGAATTGAATGGATTGTAGTGGAGTGGAATGGAGGGGAGAGAATTAGAGTGCATTGGAGTGAATAGGCATGGAGTGGAATCGAGTGGAATCGAGTGGAGTGGAGTGGAATGGTGTGGGGTGGAGTGGAGTGTTGTGAATTGTAATGGAATGGAGTTGAGCGGAGTGGAGTGGAATGAAGTGGGGTGGAATGGAATGAGGTTGAATGCTATTGTGTTGAGTGGAGTGGAGTGGAGTTGATTGGAATGGAGGGGAGGGGAATGGAATGGAGTGAAATGGAGAGGAATGGAATGGACTGGAATTGCCTGGAGTTGAACGAAATTGAGTGGAGTGGAGGCGAATGGAATGGAGTGGAGTGGAATGGAGTGGAATTGAATGGAATGGAGTGAGGTGGAATGGAATGGAATGGAATGGAATGGAATGGAATGGAATGGAATGGAGTGGAATGGAGTGGAGTGGAATGGAATGGAACGGAGTGGAATGGAATGGAGTAGAATGGAATGGATTTTAACGGAATGGAATAATGTGGAATGGAGTGGAATGTAATGGAATGGAGTGGAATGGTGTGGAATTGAGGGGAGTGGAATGGAATGGAGTGAAGGGGAGTAGAGTGGAGTGGATTGGAATGAATCGGAATGGCATGGAGAGGAGTTAATTAGAAAGGAGTGGAATGGAATGGAATGGAATAGAATGTAGTTAGGTGGACTGAAAGGAAGAGGAATGGAGTGGAGTTGAAAGTAATGGGGTGGAGTGGAATGGAATAAAATGAATTGAAATGGAATGGAGTGGAGTGAATCGGAGTGGAATGGAATGAAGTAGATCAGAGTGGAGTGAAGTGAAATGGAGTGTAGGGAATAGAATGGAGTTGTATGGATTGGAGTGGATTGGGGTGGAATGATATGGAATGGAGCAGAATGAAATGGATTGGAAAGGAATGGAGTGGATTGGAGTGGATTGCAATGGAATTGAATGGAATGAAGTACAGTGGAGTGCAGTGGAATTGAATGGTGTGGAGAAGAAAGTAGTGGATTGGAGGGGAGTTGAGTTCAGTAGAGTGGTTAAGAATAGAGTAGAGTGAAATGGAGTGAAGTGGAGTAGAGTGGAATGGAGTGGATTGGAATGGAATGGAGTTGTACGGATTGGAGTGGAATGGGGTGGAATGGAATGGAATGGAATGGAATGAAGTGGAGTGGAGTCGAGTGGAGTGGAGAGGAGAGGAGTGGAGTGGAATGGAGTATACTGGAATGGACTAGAGAGGACTGGAATGGAACGGAGTATAGTGGAGTGGAATGGAGTGGAGAGGATTGGAATGGAATGACCTGGAGTGGCATGGTATGGAAAGTAATGAAGTGGAGAGGAATGGAATGGAATGGAGTGGAACGGATTGGAGTGGAATGGAGTGGAATGAAGTGGAATGGAATGGAATGAAGTGGGGTGGAATGGAGTGGAATGGAATGGATTGTAGTGGAATGTCATGTATTGGAATGGAAGGAAATGAATTGGAAAGCAAAGGAATGGAATGGAGTGGAGTGGAATGGAATGGAGTGGAGTGGAATGGAATGGTGTGGAAGGAAAGGGAATGGAATGGAGTGGAACGGAAAGTAGTGGAATGGAATGGAGTTGATTGGATTTGAATGGAATGGAATGGAGTGTAGAATAGTGTAGTGGAGTGGAGTGGAGTGTAATTTAATGAAGTGGAATGGGTAGCAGTGGAATTCAATTGAGTGGAGTGGAACGGAATTGAGTGGAATGGAATGGCATATAATGAAGTTGAGTAGAATGGAGTGGAGTGAAATGAAGTGAAGTGTTGTCGAATGGAATGGAATGGAATAGAATGGAATGCAATGGAGTGGAATGGAATGCAGTGGAATGGAATGGAGTGGAGTGAAATAAAATGAAGTGCAGTGGAATGGAATTGAGGGTAATGGAGTGGAATGGAGTTTAGTGGTGTGGAGTGGAATGGAATGGAGCGTAATTTAACGGAATGGAAGAGAGTGCAGTGGAATGGAATGCAGTGGAGTAGAATGAAATGGAGTGGAAGGAAATGGAATGGAGTGGAGGGGAATTGAATGGAGTGGAATAAAATGGAGTGGAGTGGAAAGGAATGGAGTGGAATGGAACGGAGAGTAGTGGAGTGGAATTGAATGGAGTGGATTGGAGTTGATTGGAATGGAGTGGAGTGGAATCGAATGGAGTGGAATGGGATGACATGGAGTGGCATGGAATGGAATAGAATGTAGGGGACATGAATGGAATTCAATGGAATGGAGGGTAATGGATTGGTGAGGAGTGAAGTGGAATAGAATGGAGTGGAGTGTAGTGGAAAGGAGTGGAGTGAGGTGAAATGGAGTGCAAAGGAATGGAATGGAGTTTAGTGGAATTGAGTGAAGTGGAGTGGAATAGAGAGGAGTGGAATGGAGGGGAATGGAATGGAGTGGAGAGGAATGGAATGGATTTGAGTGTAGTGGAATGGAATGGAGTGGAGTGAAATGGAATGGATTGGAAAGGAATGGAATGGAATGTAGTGGAGTGCAGTGGAGTGGAATGGAGTGGAGTGGACTGGTATGGCATGAAGTGGAATTGGATGGAGTGGAATGGATAGCAGTGGAATGGTACAGAGAGCATTGGAATGGAATGGAGTGAAATGCAATGGAAGAGAAGAAGGTGGAGTGGAATGGTGTGGAGTAGAATAGAGTGGAGGTGACTGGATTGGATTGGAGTGAAATGGAATAGAATTAAATGGAGAGCCATGGAACGGAATGGAGTGGAATGTAATGGAGTGGAGTGGAGTAAAATGGAGTGGAGTGGTATGGAACAGAGTGCAATGGAACGGGGAGAAATGGAAGGGAATGGAGTGCAACGGAGTGGAATGGAGTGGTGTCGAGTGTAATGGAAAGGAGTGGAGAGGAAACGAATGGAATGGAATGGAGTGGAATGGAATGGAATGGCATTGAATGGAATGGAACGGAGTGTAGTGTAGTGGAGTGCAGTGGAGTTGAGTGGAATTTAATGAACTGGAATGGAGAGCAGTGGAATTGAAAAGAGTGGATTGGAATTGAATGGAGTGGAGTTGAATGGCATAGAATGAAGTGGAATGGAATGAAGTGGGGAGAAATTGAGTGGAGTGGAGACGAATAGAATGGAACAGAAAGTAATGGAATGTAATGGAGTGGAATGGAATCGAATGGAATGGAGTTTAATGGAAAGGAGTTGGGTGGAATAAAATGGAGTGGAGTGGAAGGGCATGGAATGGAGTGGAATGCAATGGATTGCAGTGGAGTGTAGCGGAATGGAATGGAAGGGATTGAATTGGAATAGAAAGGACAGGAATTGAAATGAATGGAATGAAATATAATGAAACGGAATGGAGTGGATTGGAGTGGAGTGGAATGGAATGGAGTGTAATGGAATGGAATGGAATGGAATGGAGTGGAGTAGAATGGAGTAGAGTGGACTGGAGTGGAGTGGAGTGGAGTGGAGTGGAATGGATAGCATTGGAATGGAGAGCAGTGGACTGGAATGGAGTCGAGTGGAATGGTATGGAATGGTGCGTAGTGGAATGGAATGGAGTAGAGTGGAATGGAATGGAGTGAAATCAATGGAATGGAATGGAATAGAATGTAGTGCAGTGGGGTTCAGTAAAGTGGAATGGAGTGGAGTTGAGTGGAGAGGAATGGAGTGGAATAGAGAACAGTGGAATGCTAGAGAGTGAAGAGGAATGGAATGGAGTGGAATGGAATGGAATCGAATGAAGTGGAGTGTAATGCACTGGAGTGGAATGGAGTGGAGTGGAGTGGAATGGAATGGCATGAAACGAAATGGAATGGAATGGAGTCCCACGGAATGAAATGGAGTGGAATGTAATGGAAAGAAGTGGAATAAAATGGAGTGGAGTGGAATGGAAAAGAGTGCAATGGAATGGGGTGCAATGGAATGGAATATAGTGCAATGGAGTGGAATGGAGTGGAGTGGAATAGAATGGAGTGTAGTGGATACGAATGGAATGAAATGGAGTGGAATGGAATGGAATGGAATGGAATGGAGTGAAGGGTAGTGGAGTGCAGTGGATTAGAGTGGAATTTAAAGAAGTGGAATGGAGATTAGTGGAATTGAATGGAGTGGAGAGGAATGGAATGGAGTGGAATGGAATGGCATGGAATGAAGTGGAATGGAATGGAGTGGAATGAAATGATGTGGAGTGGAGTCAAATAGAATGGAACAGAAAGGAATGGAATGTAATGGAGTGGAATGGAATGGATTGGAATGGAGTGGAGCGGAATGGAGTGGGGTGGAATAAAACCGAGTGAAGTGGAATCGAATGGAATAGATGGGAAAGCAATGAAGTGGAGATGGAGTGGAAAGGATTGGAGAGGAATGGAGTGGAATGGAATGCAATGGAGCAAAAGAAGTGAAAGTAAGTGGAGTTTATTGGAATGGAATGGAGTGGAATGGAATGGAATTGAGTGGAGTGTAATAGATTGGAGTGGAGTGGAAAGGAATGGAGAAGAATGGAATGGAATTGATTGGGGTAGAATAGAGTGGACACAATTGGATGGGAGTGCAGTGGAGTGGAATGATATGGAATGGAGGAGAATGGAATGGAGTGAATAGGAGTGGAAAAGATTGTAGTGGATTGCAGTGGAATTGTGTGGAATGGAATGGAGTGGAATTTAATGGAGTTGAGTGAAATGGAGCAGAGTTGAATGGAATAGAAAGCAACGGAATGCAATGGTATGGAGAGGAATGAAATGGAATGGAACGGATAGGAATGGAATTTAATGGAGTGGAATAGAGTGGAGTGGATTTGAATGGAATGGAATGCAATGGAATGGAATGGAGTGGAGTGGTTTGCAGTGGGGTGGAATGGAGTGGAGTTGAATGGACTGGAGTGGACTGGAAAGAGGAGTGGAATGGAATGGAGTGTAGTGGAATGCAATGAAATGGAGTGGAATGGAATGGAGTGGGGTGGAATGGAATGGAGTGGAGTGGATTGGAGTGGAGGGGAATGAAGTGGAGTGGAATAGAGTGGAGTGGAATGGAATGGAATTGATTGGAATGGAATGGAATGGAATAGAATGGAGCCAAAAGGAATGGAATGGAGTGGAGTGGAGTGGAATGGAGTGGACTGCGATTGAATGGAGCGGAATATAATAGATTGGAATGGATTGTAATGAAAAGGAGTGGAGTGAAGTGGAATGGAAAGGAATGGAGTGGAATTGAATGGAATGGAATTGAGTGAAGTTGAATGGAGTGGAGTGGAATGGATTGGAGTGGAATGGAATGCAATGGAATCTAATGGAATGGAATGGAATGCAGTGGAATGGAATAGAATGGAATGATATGGAGTGGATTGAAATGGAATGGACTGGAATGGAATGGAATGGAATAGAATATAGAGGAAAGGAATGGACTGAAGTGGAATGGAATGGAGTGGATTGGATTGGAATGGAGTGGATTAGAGTCAATGGAGTGGAGTGGAGTGGAGAGGAGTTGAGTGATATGGAAAGGAGTGGAGTGCAATAAAGTGGAGTGGAGAGCAATGGAGTGGAGGGAAATGGAATGGAGTGGAGTGGAGTAGAATGGACTGGATTGGAGTTGAATAGAATGGAAAGGAGTGGAAAGGAGTGGAGTAGACTGGAATGGAGTGGAGTGGAGTGGATTGGAATGTAATGGAGAGGAGTGGAGTGGAGAGGAATGACGTGGAATGGAATGGAGCGGAAGGGAATTCTAAGGAATGGATTGGAATGGAATGGAATGGAGTGGAATGGAACTGAATGGAATGGAGTGGACTGGAATAAAAAGGAGTGGAATGGATTGGAATGCAATGGAGTGGAGTGGAGAGGAATGGAATGGAGTTGAATGGAGCGTAGTGTACTGGAGCGGACTGGAGTAGAATGGAATGGAGTGTAGGGGAGTGGAATGGTGTGGAGTGGAATTGAAAGGAAGAGAGTGGAGTATAGAGGAGTCAATTGGAATGGAGTGGACTGGTGTGGAGTAGAATGGCGTGGAATTAAACTGAGTGGAGTGGAGTGAATTCGAATGGAGTATAATGGAGTGGAAAGGAGTGGATTGGAATGGAATGGAGTGGAGTGGAAAGGAGTAGACAGGAATGAAATGGAATGGAATTCAGTGGAGTGGAATGGAGTGGAGTGGAATGGAATGGAGTGGAATGGAAGTGGTGTGGAATGGAATGGATTGGAGTGGAGTGGAGTGGAGTGGTGTGGGGTGGAATGGAATGGACTGTACTGGAATGGAACTCAATGGAATGGAATAGAGTGGATTAGAATGGAATTGAATGTAGTGGAGTGGAATGGAAAGGAATGGAGTGGAATGAAATGGAGTGGAGAGGAATGGAATGGAATGGACAGGAATAGAATGGAGTGGATAGATGAATGGAATGGAGTGAACTGGAATGAAATGGAGTGGAATGGATTGGAATGCAATGGAGTGGAGTGGAGAGGAATGGAGTGGAATGGAGCGTAGTGTAGTGGAGCGGATTGGAGTGGAATGGAATGGAGTAGAGGGGAGTGGAATGGTGTGGAGTGGAATGGCATGGAATGGAATGGAATAAAGAGGAGTGAATTGGAATGGAGTGGACTTGTGGAGTAGAATGGCGTGGAATTAAACGGAGTGGGGTGAATTCGAATGGAGTGTAATGGAGTGGAAAGGAGTGGATTGGAATAGAGTATACTGGAATGCAATGGAATGGAATGCAGTGGAGTGGAATTCAGTGGAGTCGAATGGAGTGGAATGGAATAGAATGCAGTGGAATGGAATGGACTGGAGTGGAGTAGAATGCAGTGAAGTGTAATGTAGTGTAGTGGAGTAGAATGTAGTGGAGTGAAATGGAGTGCGGTGAAATGGAATAGAGTGGAGTTGTGTGGAGTGGAATGGAATGGAATGGAAAGGAGTGGAATGGAATGGAATGGAATGGAGTGGAGTTGAATGAAGTGGAGTGGAACGGAGTCTATTGGAGTAGCATGAAGTGGAGTGGAATGGAGTGGTGTGAAATGGAATGGAGTGGAGTGGAGTGGTGTTGAGTGCAATGGAATGGAATGGATTGGAATGGAATTTAATGGAATGGAATGGAGTGGATTGGAATGGAATGGAATGTAGTGGAGTGGAAAGGAAGAGAGTGGAGTGGAATAGAATACAATGGAGTGGAGTCGAGTGAAGAGGAATGGAATGGAATGGAGTGGAGTGGATTGGAATGTAATGCAGTGGAATGGAATGGAATGGAGTGGAATGGAATGGAATGAATCGAGTGGAGTGGAATGGATTGTAGTGGAGTAGAATGTAGTGGAGTGGAATGGAGTGGTGTGGAATGGAGTGGAATGGAATGGAACGGACTGGATTCGAATATAATGGAATGCAGTGGAGTGGAATGGAATGTAGTGGAGTTGAGTGAAGTGGAATGGAATGGAATGGAGTGGAGTGGAGTGGAATGTCATGCAGTGGAATGGAATGGAATGGAGTGGAATGGAATGGAATGAATGGAGTGGAGTGGAATGTAGTGGCGTAGAATGGATTGTAGTGGAGTAGAATGTAGTGGAGTGGAATGGAGTGGTGAGAAATGGAATGGAGTGGTGTGGAATGGAATGGAATGGAATGGAACGGAACGGACTGGATTCGAATGTAATGGAATGTAGTGGAGTGGAAGGGAATGGAATGGAATGGAGTGGTGTTGAATGGATTGGAGTTTAGTGGAGTGGAATGGAGTGGAATGGAATGGAGTGGATTGAACTAAATTGGAATGGAGTGGAATGCAATGGAGTGGAGTGGAGTGTAATGGAATGGAGTGGAGTGGAGTGGAGTGGAATGGAATGCAATGGAATGGAATGGAATGCAGATGAATGGAATGGAATGGAAGAGAGTGGAATAAAATGGAGTGGAATGGAATGGATTGGAGAGGAATAAAAAGGAGTGGATTGGAATGGAATGGAGTGGAATGGAAAGGAGTAGAGTGGATTGGAGTGGAATGGAAAAGAGTGGAATTGAATGGAGTGGAATGGAATTGAATGGAATAGAATGGTATGAAATGAAACGCAGTAGAGTGGAGTGGATTGGAAATGAAGGGAATGGAATGGAGTGGATTGGAGTGGCGTGGAATGGAGAGGAATGCAGTGAAATGGAGTGGAATGGAATGCATAGGAATGGAATGGCAAGGAATTGAATGGAACGGAAAGTAGTGGAATGGAATGGAATTGAGTGGCGTGGGAATGAATGGAATGGAGTGGAGTGGAATGGATAGGAGTGGAAAGGAATGAAGTGGAATGGAATGGAATGGAATGGATTGCAATGGAGTGGAATGGAACGGAGTTGAGTGGAATATAGTGGAGTGGAATGTAGTGGGTTGGCATGGAATGGAATGGAATGGATAGGAGTGGATTGGAATGGAGTGTACTGGATTGGAGTGGAGTGGAATGGAATGGAATGGAATGGAATGGAATGGAAAGGAATGCAATGCAATGGATTGGAATGGATTTGAGAGTGGTGGAGAAGAGAGGTGTGGAGTGGAATGGAGGGTAATGGAATGGAATGGAGTGTAATGGAGTGGAGCAGTGTGGAATGCAATGGAGTGGATTCGAATGGATAGAAGTGGAGTGGAAGGGAATGGACTCTAAGGAATGGAATGGAGTGGAGTGAAATGTAAAGGTGTGGAGTGGAATGGAGTGGAGTGCAGTGGAATGGAGTGGAGTAAAATTTAGTGGGAAGGAATGGAGTGGACTGGAATGCAGTGGAGTGGAATGGAAAGCACTGGCATGGAAGGGAATGGAATGGAGTGGAGTGGAATAGAATGGAGTGGATTGGACTGCATTGGAGAGAAGTGGAGCGGAAAGCAATGGTGCAGAGTGGATTGGAATGGAGGGCAGTGGAATGGAATGTAGTGGAGTGGACTGGAAATGAGTGCAGAGGTATTCAATTGAATTGAATGAAACTGATTGGAATGTAATGGAATGGAATGTAGAGAAGTGGAATAGAGTGGAGTGGAGTGCAGTGGAATGTAGTGGAGTGGAATGGAATCGAGGTGAGTGGAATGGAATGGAATGGATTGGATTAGACTGATGTGGAAGGGAAGGGAATGGCGTGGAGTGGATTGGAGTGTAGTTGAGTAGAGTGGAGTGAAATGGAGTAGATTGGAATGGAATCGAGCGGATTGGCATGGAATGGAGTGGAGTGGAGTAGAGTGCTGTGAAATGGGATGGAATAGAGTGGACTGGAGTAGAGTGGTGTGCAATGCAATGGAATGGAGTGCAGTGGAATAGAATAGAGGTGAATGCAATGAAATGGAATGCAGTGTAGTGGAATGGAATGGTGTAGAGTGGAATGGAGTGGAGTGGAGTGGAATAGAATAGAGGTGATAGCAATGAAATGGAATGCAGTGCAGTGGAATGGAATGGTGTAGAGTGTAATGGAGTGGAGTGGATTGGAGTGGTACGGAATGGAGTGGAGTGGAATGGAGGGGAGTGTAGTTGAATGGAGTGGTGTGTGATTTTTTAAAGTGGAGTGGAGTGGAGGTGAATAGAGTGGAGTGGAGTGGAATGGAATGGAGTGGATTGGATTGAAATGGAATGGAGTGAGGGGGAGTAGAGTGGAGTGGAATAGACTAGAGGGGAGTGGGGTGGAATGGAATGGAGAGGAGTGGAAATGAATGAAGGGAATGGAATGCAATATAATGAAAAGGAGTATAATGGAGTGGAGTGGAATTGAGTGGGGTGGATTGGAAAGGAAGTAGTGGAATGGAACAGAATGTAGCAGAATGGAACAGAATATAGTGGAATGGAATGGAATGGATTAGAGGGGAGTATATAGAAGTGGAGTTTAGTGGAGTGGAGTGGAATGGAAGTGAGAATAATGGAGAGCAGTGGAATAGAATGTAGAGAAATGGAATAGGATGGAGTGGAATGGAATAAAATGGAATGGAATGGAATGGAGGGAATAGAATGGAGTAGAATGGAGTGAATGGAATGGAGTGGAGTGTGATAAAATGGAGTGGAGTGGAATGGAATGTAGTGGAGAGGACTAGAGTGGAGGGGAGTGGACTTTAATGGATTGGAGTGGAATTGAATGGAATAGATTGTAACAGACTGGACTCGCGTTGAATGGATTGGAGTGGACGGGAGTTGAGTGGAATGGGAAGAAATGGAGTGGATTGGAATCGTATGAAATGGAGTGGAGTGGAATGTAATGGAATGCAATGGAATGGAATGGAAGGGAATGGAATGCAATGGAATGGAGTGGAATGGAGAGGAATGGAGAGGAATGAAATGGAGTAGATTTGAATGGAAGGGAATGGAGTGCAGTGGAATGGAGTGCAATGGATTGGAATGGAGTGGAGTGGAGTGGAATGGAGTGGAGTGGAGTGGAATGGAGTGGAGTGGAGTGGAATGGAGTAGTATGGAATGGAATGGAAAGGAACGGAATGGAATGGAAAAGAACGAAATGGAGTGCAATGGAATGGAATGTAATGGAGTGGAGTGGAACGGAGTGGAATGGAGTGAAGTGGAATGGAGTTTAGTGGAGTGGAATGGAGAGGTTGGTAATCAAAAGGAGTGTAATCGAATGGAATGCAGTAGAGTGGAATGGAGTGGAGTGGAATAGAGTAGAGTGGAAAGGAACGGAGTGGTGTGGAATGGAGTGGAATGCAAAGGAGTTCAGAGGAAAGGAGTGGAATGGAATGGAGAGTGTGACATGGAGTGGAGTAGAATGTAGTGGAGTGGAGAGGAATGGATGGGAGTGTAATGGAGTTTAGTGGAGTGGAATGGGTTGGAGTGGAATGAGAGTGGAATGCAAAGG
>NT_187391.1:116078-156238 GCF_000001405.40 Homo sapiens
AAATGGAGTGTAATGGAATGGAATGGAGTGGAGTGGAATGGAGTGGAATGGAGTGGAGTGGAGAGTAATGGAGTGGTATGGAATGGAGTGGAGTGGAGAGGAAAGGAGTGGTGTGAAATGGAGTGGAGTGGAATGGAGTGTATTCGAATGGAGTGGAATGGACTGGGGTTTTGTGGACAGGAGAGGAATGGAATGGACTGGAATGGCATGGAATGGAGAGTGTGGAATATAGTGGAGTGGAATGTAGTGGAGTGGAGAGGAATGGATGGCATTGTAATGGAGTTTAGTGGAGTGGAATGGAGTGGAGTGGAATGGAGTGGAGTGGAGAGGAATGGATGGCATTGAAATGGAGTTTAGTGGAGTGGAATGGAGTGGAGTGGAATGGAGTGGAATGGAATGGAGTGGAGTGAAGTGGAGTGAAATGGAATGAAGGGGATTGGAGTGGGAAGGAGTCGAGTGGAATGGAATGGAGTGGTTTGGGATGGAATGGAGTGGAAGGGAGTGTAGTGGAGAGGAGTGGAATGAAATGGACTGGAGTGGAATAGAGTGGATTGGAGTGTGTTGAAGAAGAATGGAACGTACTGGAGTGGAAAGGAGTGGAATGGAATGCAGTGGAGTGGAATAGAGTGAACTGGAGTGTTTTGGAGAAAAATCGAATGCAGTAGAGTGGAGTGGAGTGGAATGAAAAGGAGTGGAATGGAATGGAGAGGAATGGAATGGAATCGAATGGAGTGGAATGGAATTCTGTGCAGTGGAATGGAATGGAATGAGGTGGAATGCAGTGGAGTGGAGTGGAGTTTAATGAAGTGGAGTGAGTGCAGTGGAGTGGAGTGGAATGGAGTGGAATGGAATGGAGTGGAGTGATGTGGAATGGATTTGAGTGGAATGTAATTGAAAGGAATGGAGTGGAATGGAATCTAAAGGAATGGAGTGGAATGGAATGCAGTGGAATGGAAAGGAATAGATTTGGGTGGAATTAAAAGGAGAGGAGTGGAATGGAGTGGAGTGGAAAGGAGTGGAGTGGAGTGAAATGGATTGGAGTGGAATGGAGAGAAGTGGAGTGTAATAAAATAGATTGGAGTGTATTGGAATGGAATGCATTGGAATGGAATGCTGTGACCTGGAATGGAATGGAATGGAGTGGAGTGGAATGCAGAGGAGTGGTGTAGATTGGGGTGGAATGGAATGGAGTGAAAGGCATGGAATGGAATGGAGTGGAATGGAATGGAATTGAATGAAGTGGATTGGAATGGAGTGGAGAGGAATTGAGTGCAGTTTAGTGGAATGGAGTGGAATGGAGTGGAGTAGAATTGAGTGGAGTTTAGTGGAATGGAATGCAATGGAGTGGAATGGAACGAAATGGAGTGGAATGGAATGGAGTGTAGTTGAATAAAGTGGATTGAAGTGGAATGGAAAGGAATGGATTGGAGTGGATTGGAGTGGAATGGAATGGAATCGAATAGAATGGAAGGGAATGGAGAGTAATGGAAATGAATGGAATGGAGTGGAATGGAATGGAATGGAATGGAATGGAGTGGAGTGCTGTGCAATGGATTGGAATGCAAGGAATTCTAATGGAATGGAATGGAATGGATTGGAATGCAATGGAAAGGAATGTAGTGTAGTGGAGTGCTGTGCAATGGATTGGAAAGGAAAGGATTGGAATGGAATGGAATGGAATGGAATGGAGTGCAATGCAATGGAATGGAGTGCAATGCAATGGAATGGAATGGAGTGGAGTGGAGTGGAGTGCTGTGCAATGGAATGGAATGGAAAGGATTGGAATGGAATGGAATGGAATGCAATGCAATGCAATGGAAAGTAGTGGAATGGAGTGGAGTGGAACGGAGTGTAGTGGAGTGTAATGGAGTGGTAGGGAATGGAGTGGAGTGCAATGGATTGGATTGGAGTGGAAAGGATAGGAGTGGAGTGGAATGGAGTGATGTGTAATTGAATGGAGATGAGTAGAGTGGAGTGGAGAATAGAGTAGAGTTGTGGGGAATAGAATGGAATGGAATGGAATGGCATGGAGTGGAGTGTAGTGGAGTGGAATGGAGTGGAGTGGAAGAAAGTGATATGGAATGAAGTGGTGTGGAATGGAGTGGAGTGGAAGAAAGTGATATGGAATGAAGTGGTATGGAATGGAGTCGTGTGGAGTGAAAGGTAGTGGCGTGGTGTGGAGAAAAATGGAATGGAGTGGAGTAGAGTAGAATGGAGTAGAGTGGACTGGAATGGAATGGAGTGGAGCAGAGAGGAATGGAATAGAAAGGAGTGGAATTGAATGCAATGGATAAGAGTGTAGTGGAATGCAATGGAGAGGAATGAAATGGAATGGAGTGGAATGGAGTGGAATGGAATGGAATGTATTGGAGTGGAGTGAGATGGAGTGGAGAGGAGTGGAATGAAGCGGAAGGGAATTGAGTGGAATGGAATGGAATGGAATAGAGCAGAATGGAATGGAATGGAGTGGAATGGAATGAAATGGAGTGGAATAGAATGTAGTGGAGTTTAATAAATTGAGGTGCAGTGGAATGCAACAGAATGGAGTGAAAAGGAACGGAATGAAGTGGAATGGAATGGAATGGAATGGAATGGAATGGAATGGAATGGAATGGAATGGAATGAAATGGAATGAAATGGAAGGGATTGGAATGGAATGGAATGAAATGGAATGAAATGGAAGGGATTGGAATGGAATGGAATGGAATACAATGCAGTTGCAGGGAATGGAAAGGAATAGATTGGAATTTAATGGAGTCTACTGGAATAAAATTCAGCGCAGTGGAATGGAATGGATTGGAATAGAATGCAGTGGAGTGGAATGCAGTGGATATTAGTTGTGTGCAATGGAGTGGAGGGGAATGCTACTGAATGGAATGCAATGGAGTGGAGAGGAATGAAATGGAATGGAATGCATTGGAATGGAATGGAATGGAATGGAGTAGAATGGAATGAAATGTAGTGGAGGGGAATGCAATGGAATGCAACCGAATGAGATGGAATGGAATGGAATGGAATGGAATGGAATGGAATGGAATGGAATGGAATGGAATGGAATGGAGGGGAGTGGAATGGAGTGGAGTGCAATAGAATGGAATGGAATGGAGTGGAGTGGAGAATAAAAAAATGTAGTGTAGTGGAATGGAATGGAATCGATAGTAATGGAATGCAGTGGAGTGGAATAGAGGAGATTGGAGTGATGTGAAATGGAGTGGAGAGAATGGTTTTGAGTCACATGTAATAGAGTGGAATGGCGAGCAGTGAAATGGAATGGAGTGGAAAGGAATGGAATGGAATGGCATACAATGGAATGGAATGGAATGGAGTGAAGTGAAGTGGAATTGACTGGAGTGGAGAGGGATGGAGTGGATTTGAGTGGAATGGAGTGGAATAGAGTGCAGTTGAATAGAATGGAAAGGAATGGAAAAGAGTGGAATGGAGTGTAATAGGTTAAACTGGAGTGCAGACGAAAGGAATTGAATGGAGTGAAATGGAAAGGAATGGAGTGGACTGGAATGGAATGGAGTAGAATGGAGTGGAATGGAGTGGAGTGGAGTGGAATGGAATGGAATGGAGATGAATGAAATGGAGAATAGTGGAGTGGAGTAGAGTGGAGTTTAGTGGAGTGGAATGGAAAGGAGTAGAGTGGAATGGAATGTAGTGGAATGAACAGGAGTGGAGTGGAATGGAATAGAATGGAGTGGAATGGAACGGAATGGAGTTGAGTGGACTGGATTGGAATGGAGGGTAATGGAGTGCAGTGTAGTGGAATGCACTGGAGTGGACTGGAATAGAGTGGAGAGGAGTGGAGTGGAATAGAAGGGACTGGGGTGGAAGGGATAGAGAGGACTGGAATGGAATGAAATGCATTGAGTGGAATGGAATGGAATATACAATGGAATGGAGAGGAATGGATTGCATTGGAGAGGAGTGGAGTGGAACGGAGTGGAGTGGAATGGAGTGCAATGGACTGTAAAAGAGTGGAGAGGAATGAAATGGAGTGGAGTGGAATGGAATGGAGTGGTATGGAATAGAATGAAGTGTTATGGAATGGAAAGGAATGGAATGGAATGGAATAGAGTTTAGTGGAATGGAAAGGAGTGGAGTTGAATGCATTGGAGTGGAATGGAGTGGAATGGAGTGGAATGGAGTGGAATGGAGAGGAGTGTAATGGAACGGAGTGGAGTGGAGTGGAGTGGAATGGAATGGTATTGAATAGAATTGAATGGAGTTTAATGGAAATGAATGGAACAGAGAGGAATGAAATTGAATGTAGTGCAGTGGAGTGAAGTGGAATGGAGTGGAGTGGAATGCAGCGTAATGGAGTGGAATGAAATGGAATGGAGTGTTGTGAAATGGAATGGAGGGGAGTTTAATGAGTGGAATGGAGGGAAGTATAGTGGAAAGGATTGGAATGAAGTGGAATGGAATGGAATAGAATGGAATGGAATGAGTGGAGTTGAGTGAAGTGGAATGGAATGGAGTCGAGATGAATAGAGTGGAATTTAATGGAATGGAATGCAGTGGAATTGAATGGAATGGAGTGGAGTGGAGTTGAGTGGAATAGAGGGTATTGAAATGGAATGGAATGGAGTGGAACGGAGTGGGGTGGAGTGGAATGGAATGCAGTGGATCGGAATTGAAGGGAATGAAGTGGAGTGGAAAGAATTGGAGTGGATTGGAAAGGAATAGAGTAGAGTGGAATGGAGTGGTGTGGACTAACATGGAGTGGACACGAATGGAGAAAAGTACAATGGAGTGAAAAGTAATGGACTGGAAGGGAATGGAATGGAATGAAGTGGAGTGGAAAGGACTGGAGTGGAATGGATTCGAGGTGAATGTAGTGGAGTGGAAATGAATGTAGTGGAATGGATTAGAATGGAGTGGAATTGAGTGGAATGGAATGCAGTGGAGTGGAGAGGAAAGGAGTGGAGTAGTTTGGAACGGCACTGAAAGGCAGGGAGAGGAAATGAATGCAGTTGAATGGAGTGGAGTTCAATGGAGTGCAGTGGAATGGAGTTGAGTGGAGTGGAATGGAATGGAATGGAATGCAATTCAGTGGAATACAATGGAATGGAAAGGAATGAAATGGAATGGAATGGAGTGGAAGTAAATTTAGCGGAGTGGAATGGATTGGAGCGGAATGGAATGGAATGAAATGGCATGGAATGGAGTGGAGTGGAGAGGAGTGGAGTGTAA
Source organism: Homo sapiens (assembly GCF_000001405.40). NCBI lineage: Eukaryota > Metazoa > Chordata > Mammalia > Primates > Hominidae > Homo > Homo sapiens. The sequence goes on from NT_187391.1 coordinate 121,278, forward strand.
TGGAATGGAGTGGAGTGGATTGGCATGGAATGGAGTGGAGTTGAATGTAACGGAATGGAGTGGAATGGAGTGGAGAAGACTGGAGTGTAGTGGAGTGGAATGGGGTGGAGTGGAATGGAGTGGAGTGTATTGCAGTGGGGTGGATATGAATGGAATGGAGTGTAGTAGAAGGGAATTGAATAGCGTGGAGTGGTGTGGAGTAGAGTGGAATGGAGTAGAGTGGAGTGGGGTGGAACGGAATGAAGTGGAGTGAATTGGAGTGGAGCGGAATGGAGTGTAATGGAAAAGAGTGGAGAGGAATGCAACGGAATTTATTGCAATGGAAAGGAAGGGAATGGAATGGAGTGGAAGGGAATGGAATGAATTGGAGAGGAATGGAAAGGAGTGTAAACGAATGGAGTGGAGATTTATGGAATTGAGAGGAGTGGATTCTAATGGAATGGAGTGGAGTGGAATTGAATGAAGCGGAGTGAAATGGATTGCAGTGGAGTGGAGTGCAGTGGAATGGAGAGGAGTTTAGTGGAGAGGAATGGAATGGAGTGTAATGGAGAGGAGTGGTGTGCAATGCAGTGGAGTGGAATGGAATGGAGTGGAGTGGAGTGGAATGGAATGGAGTAGAGTTGAATGGACAGGAATGGAGTGGAATGGAGTGGAGTAGAGTTGAATGAAGTGGAGTGGAGTGTAACGGAATGTGTTGGAGTGGAGAGGAGTGAGTTTTAAGGGAGTGGAATGGAGTGGAAAGGAGTGGAGTAGAATGGAATGGAGTAGAGTGGAATGGAAAGGAATGGAATGGAATGGATTGGAGTGGACTGGAGTGGAGTGAAACGCAATGAAATGGAATGGAGTGGAATGGGATGGAATGGAACAGAGAGGAGTGGAATGAAGTAAAGTGGAATGGAATGGAGAGGAATATAATGTAGTGGAACGGAATGGAGTGGTGTGAAATGGAATGTAGGGGAATGGAGTGGAGTGAATTGGAATGGAATGGAATATAGTGGAATGGATTGGAATGTAACGTAGTGACGTGGAATGAAAAGGAATGGAATGGAATGAAGTGGTGTGGAATGTATTGGATTGGAGTGGAGTGGATTGAAATGGAGTGGAATAAAATAGAATGGAATGGAATGTATTGGAGTGGAATGAGGGGAGTGGAACGGAGTGGAATGCAATGGAGTGGATTGTAGTGGAATGAAATGGAGTGGAACGGAGTGGAATGCAATGGAGTGGATTGGAGTGGAATGGAGTGGAGTGGAGTGGAATGGAGTGCAATGGAATGTGGTGGAATGGAATGGAGTGCAATGGAGTGGAATGTATTGGAGAAGAGTGGAATGGAATGGAGTTGAGTGGAAAGGAATGGAATATAATGGAGTCGAATGGAATGGAATGGAATGGAATAGAATGGAAAAGAATGGAGCGTAGTGGAGTGGAGTGGAGGGGAATTTAACGAAGTGGAAAGGAGAGCAGTGGAATTGAATTGAGTGACGTGGAATGGAATGGAGTGTATAGGAATGGCAAGAAGAAAGTGGAATGGAAAGGAGTGGAGTGAAATGGAGTGCACAGGAGTCGAATGGAATGGAATGGAATGGAATGGAATGGAATGCAATGGAGTGGAAAGGAATGTGTTGGAATGGAGAGCAATGGAATAGAGTAGAGTGGAATAAAATGAAGTGGAGTGGAAAGGAATTGAGTGTAACTTAATGGAATGGAGTGGAGTGGAGTGAACTGGTTTGGAGTGGAATGGAATGGAATGCAGTTGAATGGAGTGGAATGGAGTTTAGTGGAGTGGAAATGAATGGAATGGTATGGAGTGTAGTGGAATGGAATGCAGTGGAGTAAAATGTAGAGGAGTGTAATGGAGTGGAGTGGAGTGGAATGGAATGGAGTGAGGTGGAATTTAATGGAATGGAATGGAGTGCAGTGGAATGGAATGCAGTGGTTTGGAATGGAGTGGAAGGAAATGGAATAGAATGAAGTGGAGTGAAATAGAGTGGTAGGAATGGAGTGGAGTGGAATGGAATGGAATTAAACGGAATGGAATGAAATGAAATGGAGTGGAATAGAATGAAATGGAGTGTAAAGGAATGGAGTGGAGTGGAATAAAAAGAGTGCAGTGGAATGGAAAGGAATGTAGTGGAAAGGAAGGAAGTGGAGTGGAGTGGATTTGAGTGGAATGGAATGGAGTGGAATGGAATGGAGTGGAGTGAAATGCAATGGACTGGAATGCAATGGAGAAGAGTTGAGTGGAATGGAGTGTGGTGGAATATAGTGGAGTGGTGTGGAATGGAATGCAGTGGAGAGGAGTGAAGTGGAGAGGTGTGGAATGAAATGGAACAGAGCGGAAAGGAGTGGAGAGGAATGTATTGGAGATGAAAGGAATGGAAGAGAGTGGAAAGGAGTGGAATGGGAAGGAGTTCAATAGAATGGAATGGAGGGGAATGGAATGGAGTGGAGTGGAAAAAAGTGGAGTGGGGTGGAATGGAATTAAATGGAATGGAGTGGAATGGAATGGAATGCAGTTGAATGTAGTGGAATGGAGTTTAGTGGAGTGGAAAGGAAAGGAATGGCATGGAGTGGAGTGGAATGGAATGGAGTAGAGTGGAAAGTAGGGGAGTGTAATGGAGTGGAGTGGAACGGAATGGAGTGGAGAGGAGTGGAATGGAAGGGAGTGGGGTGGAATTTAATGGAATGGAATGGAGTGCAGTGGAATGGAATGCAGCGGTTTTAATGGAGTGGAAGGAAATGGAATCGAATGAAGTGGAGTGAAATAGAGTGGTTGGAATGGAGTGGAGTGGAATGAAGTGGAGTGGAGTGGAATGGAATGGAATTAAATGGAATGGAATGGAATGAAATAGAGTGGAATAGAATGAAATGGAGTGGAAAGGAAAGGAGTGGAGTGGAATAAAAAGAGTGCAGCGGAATGGAAAGGAATGTAGGGGAAACGCAGGAAGTGGAGTGGAGTGGATTTGAGTGGAATCGAATGTAGTGGAATGGAATGGAATGGAGTGGAATAGAATGGAGAAGAGTGGAGTGGAATGGAGTGGGGTGGAATGTAGTGGAGTGGTGTGGAATGGAATGCAGTGGAGAGGAGTGAAGTGGAGAGCTGTGGAATGAAATGGAATAGAGTGGAATGGAGTGGAGTGGAATGTATTAGAGATGAAAGGAATGGAAGGGATTGGAAAGGAGTGGAATGGAAAGGAGTTCAATAGAATGGAATGGGGGGAATGGAATGAAGTGGACTGGAATAGAGTGGAGTGGAGTGGAATGGAATGGAAAGGAATGGAGTGGAATGGATTGGCCTGGAGGGGAATAAAGTGGGGTGGAGTGGAATGGAAGGGAATGGGGGGGAATGGAATGGAGTGGGCTGGAATGGAGTGGAGTGGAGTGGAATGGAATGGAATGGAATGGAGTGGAATGGATTGGGCTGGAGGGGAATAAAGTGGGGTGGAGTGGAATGGAATGGAAATGAATGGAATGGAATGGGATGGAATGGAGTAGCCTGGAATGTAATGTAATGGAGTGGAGTGCAATGGAATGGAGTGGAGGGGAATAAAGTGGAATGGAGTGGAATGGAATTGAATGGAATGGAGTGGAATGTAATGGAGTGGCCTGGAATGGAATGGAATGTAGTGGATTGCAAAGGATTGGAGTGGAATGCAGGGGAGTTGAGTGCAATGGAGTGCAGAGGAATGAAATGTAGTGGAATTGAATGGAATGGAAAGTAACGGAGTGGAGTGGAATGGAATGGAGTGGAACGAAATGGAAACGAATGAAGTGGAGTGGAACGGAGTGGAGTGGAAAGGAGTGGAGTGGAGTGGAATGGAATGGAATTAAATGGAATGGAGTGGAATGCAATGGAGTGGAATGGAATGAAATGGAGTGGAAAGGAATGGAGTGAAGTGTAATAAAATGGATAGAATTGGAAAGGAAAGGAATGGAGTGGAATGGAATGGAGTGGAGTGGAGTGGAGTGGAATGGAATGGAGGAGAACAGAATGTAATGGAAAGAATGCAATAGAGTGGAATGGAATGCAATGGAATGCAAAGGAATGCAATAGAATGGAAAATAATGGAATGGAGTAATGGAATTGAATGGAATGAAAAAGAATGAAATGGAATGGAGTGGAGTGGAGTGGAATGGAATGGAATGGAATGGAATGGAGTGGAATGAAATGGAAAGGAGTGGAGTGGAGTGGAATGGAAGGGAGTTGGGAGGAATGAAGTGGATTGGAATGGAGTGGAGTGGAATGGAATAGAATGCCCTAGGATGGAATGAAATGGAGTGGAATGGAATAGAATGCAGTGGAGTGGAAATGAATGGAGTGGATTGAAATGGAACAGAGTGGAATGGAACGGAATGAAGTGGAGTGGAATTACATGAACTGAAGCGCAATGGAATAGAACAGAGTGGAATGGAATGGAGAGTAGTGTAGTGTAGTGGAGTAGAGTGGAATGGGGTGGAATATAATGGAATGAAGTGAAATGGAGAGGAATGGAGTGGAGTGCAGAGGAGTGGACTAGAGTGTAGTGCAATGGAGTGGAGTGGAATAGAGTGCAATGGAATGGAATGGAATAGAGTGGAGTGAACTGGAGTGGACTGGAGTGGACTGGAGTGGGCAGGAATGGAGTGTAGTTGAATTTATTGGAGTTTAATGGATAGGAGTGGAGTGGAATGAAATCGAGTGGAATGGATACGAGTGGAGTGGAATGGAATGGAGTGCAGTGGAATAGAATGGAATGGAGTGGAGTGGATTGGATAGGAATGGAGCTGAATGGAGTGGAGTGGAGTGGAATGCAGTGGAGTGGAGTGGAATAGAGTGGAGAGGAGTGGAGAAAAATGGAATGGATTGGAGTGGAAAGGGATGGAGTGGACTAGAATGAAATGAAACGGAGTGGAGTGAAAAGGAATGGAATGGAACGGAATGGAGAGGAATGGATTGGAGTGGAGAAGAGTCTAGTGGAATGGAATGGAGTTGAGATGAAAGGAATGGAAAGGAGTGGAGGGGAATGGAATGGATTGGAGTGGAATGGAGGGGAGTGGAATGGAATGGAGTGGAGTGGAATACAGTGCAATGGAATGGAAATGAATGGAATGGAATGGAAAGGAATGGAATGGAATGGAATCGAATCGAATGGAATGGAGGGGACTGTAGTGGAGTGGAGTGGAACGGAGTTTAGTGAATTGAGTGGAGTGGAGTGAAATGGATTCGAGTGGAATGGAATGGAGTGGAGTTCAGTGGGATGGAATGGAGTGGGGTGGAATGCAATGGAGTGGAATAGTGTGGAGTAGAGTGGAAGGGATTGAAGATGAGTTTAGTGGAGTGGAATGGAATGGAGTGGAGTTGAGTGGAGTGGACTTGAGTGGAGTGGAATGGAGTGCAGCAGAATGGAGTGGAGTGGAATGGGAAGCAGTGGAGTGGAAAGAATGGACTGGAAAGGATAGGAGTAGAGTGGTGTGCAATGGATAAGAGTGGAGTGTCGTGGAATGGAATGGAGTGGAATGGAATGGAATGGAGTGGAATGGAATGGAATGGAGTGGAATGGAACGGAATGGAAAGGAGTGGATTGGATTGGAATGGAGGGAAATGGAGTGGAGTGTAATGCAGTGGAGTGGAGTGAAATGGAGTGGAGAGGAGTGGAGTGGAATGGAATGGATTGGGGTGTAAGTGATGGTGTGGACTGGAATAGAATGAAATGGAGTGGAGTGCAATGGAATGGAATCGAATGAAATGGAATGGAATGCAATGAGGTGGAATGGAGAGGATTGGATACCAGTGGAGTGGAATAAAGTGGATTGCAATGGAGTGCAATGGAGAGCAGTGGAATGGAACGATGTGAAGTGGAATGTAATGGAGGGGAATGGAATGGAATGGAATGGAGTGGAATCGAGTGGAATGGAATCGAATGGAATGGTTTTTAATGGAATGGAGTGGAGTGGAATAAAATGTAGTGCAGTGTAATGGAATGCAATGAATTGTAATGGAATGGATTGGATTGGAATGGATCAGAGTGGAACACTGTGGAATGGAGTGGATTGGAATGGTATTGAGTGGAGCAGAATGAAATGGGGTGGAATGGAATGGTATGTAATGAAATGTAATGTAATTGAATGGAATGAAAAGGAATGGAGTACAATGGAATGGAATGGAATGGAATGGATTGGAGTACAGCCGTGTGAATTGGAGTGTATTCCAATGGAATGTATTGGAATGGAGATCAGTGTTATGGTACGGAGTGGAGTGAAATGAAATGGAATGGAGTGGAGTGGAGTGGAGTGGAATCGAGAAGAGTGGAATGGAACTGAGAGTGGTGGATTGGAGTGGAATGTACTGGATTGGAGTAGAGTTGAGTGGAAAGGAGTTGAGTGGAATGGAGTGGAATGCAGTGGAATAGAGTGTAGTGGAGGGAAATGGAGTGGAGTGGAGTGGACTGGAATGGATTGGAGTGGAATGGAGTTGAGTGAAGTGGAATGGACTGGAATGAAAGGGAATGGAGTGCAATGGAATGAATTGCAGTAGAATGGAGTGGAATTGAGTGGAGAGGAGTGGAATGTAATTGAGTGGAGTGGAATGGAATGGAATGGAGTGGAATGGAATGGACTGGAATGGAATGGAATTGAATGGAATGGAACGGAAATGAATGCAATGGAATGGAAAGGAAACGAATGGAACAGAGTGGAGTGATATGCAATGGATTGGAGTGGAAAATATTGGAGTGTAGTGGAATAAATTGCAGTGGAGTGGAATGGAGTGGAATGGAATGGAGTGGATTAGAACGGAGTGTAGTGGATTGGAATGGAGGGGACAGGAGTGGAATGGATTGCGAAGTAGTGGAATGGAGTAGAGTGCTGTGGAGTGGAGTGGAATGGAATGGAATGGAGTAGATTGCTGTGGAGTGGAGTGGAATGGAATGTAATGGAATGGAAAGGAGTGGTGTGAAATGGAATGGAGTGGAGAGTAGTGGAATGGAGTGGAGAGGACAGGAATGGAATTGAGGGAGTGGAATGGAGTGGAGAGTAGTGGAATGGAGTGGAGAGGACAGGAATGGAATTGAGTGGAGTGGAATGGAGTGGGATGGAGTGGAATGGATTGAAGTGGAGTGGAGAGTAAGCTAATGGGATGGAGTGGAATGAAATGGAATGGAGGATAGTGGAGTGCAAAAGAGTGGAGTGGAGACAGGAATGGAAAGGAGTGGAGTGGAATGGAGTGGAGGGTAAAGGAATTTACTGGAGTGGAGTGGAGTGGAATGGAATATAATGGAGTGAAATGGAATGGAATATAATGGAGTGGAATGGAATGGAATTTACTGGAGTAGAGTGGAATGGCAAGAATAGAATGTAATGTAGTGTAATGGAATGTAAAGGAGTGGAGTGGAGTGAATGGAATAGAATGGAGTGAAATGGAATGGTGTGGACTGGAGTTGAATGGAGTGTAGTGGACTGGAATGCAATTCAGTACAGTGGAGTGGAGTGGAATGGAATGGAATGGAATGGAGAGGACTGGAGAGGATTGGGATGGAATGGAATGGAGTGGAATGGAGTGTAACGGACTGGAGGAGAGTGGAGTGGAATAAATGGAATGAAGTGGAATGGAATGGAGTGGAGAGTGGTGGAGTGGACTGGAATGGAATGGAGTGGACTGGAATGGAGAGGAGGGGAGTGGATGGGAGGGGAGTGGAATGGAAAGGAGTGGAGTGGAATTGAGTGGAGTGGCGTGAAATTGAGTGGAGTGGAGTGGAATGTAGTGGAGTGGAGTAGAATGGAATGGAATGGAATGGAATTGAATGGAATGGAATGGAATAAAATGGAAAGGAACAGAGGGGAATGGAATGGAATGCAATGGAGTGGAGAGTAATGGAGCAGAGTGGAGTGGAATGGAGTGGAATGGAATGGAATAGAATGTAATAGAATGCAATGTAATGAAGTAGAGTGGAGTGGAATGGAGTGTAATGCTGTGGAGTGGAGAAGAATGGAATGGGGTGGATTGGAACGTAATGGAATGGAGTAGAATGCATTTCAATGGAATGTCATGGAGTGGAGTGCAGTGAAGTGGAGTGGATTAGAGTGGAGTTAAGGAGAATGGAATGGAGTGGGATGGCGAGTAGTGGAATGGAATCAATTGGAGTGCAATGTAATGGAGTAGAATGGAATGGAGTGGAATGAAGTGGATTGGAAATGAGTGGAGTGGAATGTAGTGGAGTGGATTGGAATGGAATAGAGTGGAATGGAGTGGAGTGGAATGGAATGGAATAGAGTGGAGTGTAATGGAATGGAAGGGAATGGAGTGGCATCGAATTGAATGATATGCAGTGGAGTGGACTGGAGTGGACTGGAGTAGAAGGTCATGGAATCGATGGGAAAGGCGTGGTGTATAATGGAATAGAGTGTAGTGGAATGGAACGGAATGGAGTGGAGTGGAACGGAGTTCAATGGGGAGCAGTGCAACGGAATGATGTGAACTGGAATGTAATGGAGTAGAATGCAACGGAAAGGAATGAAGTGGATTAGAATGGAGCGGAGTGGAAAGGAGTGTAGTAGAGTGGAATGGAATGGAATACAGTGTAATGAAATGGAGTGGACTGGAATGGAATCGAATGGGGTGGAACGGAATGGAGTGGAGTGGAATAAAATGGAGTCCAGTGGAATGGAGTGGAGTGGAGTAGTTTGGAAAGGAGTGGAGTGCAATGCTAGTGAGGGGAGTTGAATGGAATGGAGTGGAATGGAATAAAACGAAATGGAAAGCAAAGGAAAGGAATCGAATGGAATTGAATGGAATGTAGTGGAATGGAATTGAATGGAATGGAGTTGATTGGAATGAAATGGAATGAAATGGATTAGAGTGGAGTGGAGTAGAGTGGAGTGGAGTGGAGATCAATGGAATGGAGTGGAATGCAGACAAGTGGGATGGAATGGAGTGGAGTGAAATGAAATTGAATGGAGTAGAGTGGAATGGAATGGAATGGAGTGGTGTGGAATGGAATGGAGTAGAAAGGAATTGAAAGGAGGGAATGGAGTGCAATAGAGTGCTGTGGAGTGGAATGGAGAAGAATGGAATGGAATGGAATGGAGTGGAATGGAGTGGAATGGAATGGAATGGAATGGAGTGGAATGGAATTGATTGGAGTGGAGTGGAGTGGAGGGCAATGGAATGGAGTGGAATGGAGTGGAGTGGAATGGAGTAGAGTGGAATGGAGAGGAGGGGAGTGTTGTGTAATGGAGTGGAGTGGAGTAGAGTGGAGCGCAGTGGAGTGGAATGGAGTACAGTGGAATGGAGAGGAGGGGAGTGTTGTGTAAGGGAGTGGAGTGGAGTTGAGTGGAGCGCAGTGGAGTGGAATGGAGTCGAGTGGAATGGAATGGACTGGAATGGAAAGGAGTTGAGTGGAATGGAGTGGAGTGGAGGGAAATGGAGTGGAGTGTAGTGGACTGGACTGGAAGTGAATGGAGTGAATTGGAAAGGAGTGGAAAGGAGTTGAATAGTGTGGAATGGAGTGTAGCGTTGTGTAATGGAATGGACTGGATTGGAATGGAATGGAATTGACTAGAGTGGAATGGACTAGAATGGAGTGGAGTGGAGGGAAAAGGAGTGGAGTGGAGTGGAGTGGAATGGAGTGGAGTGGAGTGGAATGGAGTCGAGTGGAATGGAATGGATTGGAATGGAAAGGAATGGAATGGAGTGGAGTGGAATGGAGAGTAGTAGAACGTAATGGAATAAAGTGGAGTGGAATGGAATTGAGAGGAGTGGAGTGAAGTGGAATGGAGTGGATTAAAGTGGAATGGAATGAAGTTGAGTAGAATGGAGTGGAAAGGAGTGAAATGCAGTGGAATGCAATAGAAAGGAATGGAATGGAATCTAAGGGAATGGAAATGAAAGAAATGGAGAGGAATGGAATGGAGTGGAGTGGAGTGTAATGGAGAAGAGTGGAGAAACACGGAGTGGAATGGAAAGGAATGCAGTGCAATGGAGTGGAATATATTGGAGTGGAGAGGATTTTAGTAGAGTTGAGTGAAATAAAGTGGAATGGAATGGGAGGGAATTGAATCCAATGGAACATAATGGAATGGAATACAACGGAATGGATTGCATTGGAATGGAATGGAATGGAGTAGACGGGAATTGAATGGAATGGAGTGGATGGAATTGGAATGGATTGGAGTGGAATGGAGTGGAGTTCATCGTAATGGAGTGGAATGGAGTGCAATGGAGAGGAACGGAATGTAGTGGCATGGTATGAAGTGGAATGGCATGGAATAATTTGGAATGCAGTGGAGTGGTATTGAACAGAGAGGATTGGAATAGAATGGAGAGGACTGGAATGGAATGGAATGGAATGGAATGGAATGGAATGGAATGGAAAGGAATGGAATGGAATGGAATGGAGTGAAGTGGAGTGCATAGCAGGGGAATGGAATGGAAAGGAATGGAGAGGAACGGAATGGCGGGTAGTGGAATGGAGAAAAGTGGAGAAAAATGGAATGGAATGGAATGGAATGGAATGGAATGGAATGGAATGGAATGGAATGGAATGGAGTGGAGTGGAATGGAAGGAAATGGTGTGGAATGGAGTGGAATTGAGTAGAGTGGCATGGACTGGAATGGAATGGAATGGAATGGAGTGGAATGGAATGGAAAGGATGGGAGTGCAATGGAGTGGAACAGAATGGAATGTAAAGGAATCGAATGGAGTAAAGTGGAGTGAAATGGAATGGAATGGATTGGAATGCAGTTGAGTGGAGTGGAACGAAATGAAACGGAGTGGAATGGAGAGGAGTGGAATGTAATGGAATAGAGTTGAACATAATGGAGTGGATTTGAGCGCAGTGGGGTGGAGTGTAATGTTATGGAATGGAATGGAATGGAATGGAATGGAGTGAAATGGAGTGAAATTCAGTGGAGTGGAATGCAGTGGACTGGAGAGGAATGGAATGAAGTGAAATAAAATGGAAGGAAATAAAATTGAATGGAATGGTATGGAGTAGAATGGACTAGAATGGAATGGAATGGAAAGGGATGGAATGCATTGGAATGGAATGGAATGGACTTTCATGGAATGGAGTGGAGTGGAATACAATGGAATGGAGTGGAATGGATAGGACTGGAGTGCAGTAGAGTGGAGAGGAGAGAAATGGAATGGACTTCAACGGAATGGGATTTAGAATGGAGTGCAATGGAGTGGAATTGAGTGGAGTGGACAGGAATGGAATAGAATGGAGTGGAATGGAATAGAATGGATTGGAATGGAATGCCACGGCATGGACTGGAGTAGAGTGAAGTGGAGTGGAGTGGAGTGGAGCTGAGGGGAATGGAATGGAGTGGAGAGGACAGGAATGGAATGAAGTGGAGTGGAATGTAATGGTGTACAGTGGAATGAAATGGAAAGTAGTAATTGGAATGTAGTGGAGTGGAATGTAATGGTGTACAGTGGAATGAAATGGAAAGTAGTAATTGGAATGTAGTGGAGTGGAATGTAGTCGAGTTGTTTGGAATGGATTGGAATGGAATGCAGTGCAATGGAATGGAATGCAATGGAATGGAATATAATGGAGTGGAATGGAATGGAATGGAAAGGAATGGAATGGAATGGAATTAAGTGGAGTGGACTGGAGTGGACAGGAGTGGAATGGAGTGAAATCGAGTGTAATGGAGTGGGGAGGAATTGAATGGTTTGGAGTGGAATGGAGTGGAATGAATGGAAAGAAATGGAATGGAGTGGCATGGAATGGATTGGAATCAAGAGATTTGGAATGAAATGGAATGCAGAGGAGTGGAGTAGAGAGGAATGGAGTGAAGTGGAGTGTCGTGGAATGGAGGGGTGTGTGGTTTAGTGGAGTGGAATGAAGTGGAGTGGAAAGGTGTGGAGTGGAATGGAATAGATGGGAATGGATTGTAATGCAGTGGAATGGAGTTGAGTTGGGTGGAATGGAGTGGACTGGTGTGGAATAGAATAGAATGCACTGGAATGCGATGGAATGGAGTCGATTGGTATGTAATGGAGTGGAGTGGACAGGAATGGAATGGAGTTGAATGGAATGGAGCAGAGAGAAATGGAATTATTGAATGGAATGTAATGGAATAGAACGGAATGGTATGGAGTGGAATGGACTGGAATGGAGTGGAATGGAATGGGATGGATTGGATTGGAATGTAATGGAGTGGAGTGGAAAGGAGTGGAGTGGAATGGAATGGAATGGAGTACAATGGAATGGAGTGGAATAAAACCGAATGGAATGGAGTGGAATGGAGTGGAATGGAATGGAATCGAATGGAATGGAATCGAATGGAGTGGAATGGAAAGGAATGGAGTGGAATGCATTGGAATGGAATAGAATGGAGTGGAACGTAATGGAATGGAATGGAATGGAATGGAATGAAATAGAATGGAATGGAGTAGAGTGGAGTGGAACGTAGTGGAGTGGAATGGGATGGAATGGAATGGAATGGAATGGAATGGAATGGAGTGGAATGTATTGCCGTGGAATGAAATGGATCGGAATGGAATGGAATGGAATTTAGTGTAGTGTACTGGAGTGGATAGGTGAGGAAGTTAGTGGAATTGAGTTGAATGGAATGGTGTGGAATGGAATGGAATGGAATGGAATGGAATGGAATGGAAAGGAGTGGCATGGAAGGGATTGGAGTTGCGTCGAACAGTTTGGAGTGGAATGGAATGGAGTGGAGTTGGTTTGAGAGGAAGGGGGGAGTGCAGTGCAGTGGAATGTAGTGGTGTGGAGTGGAGTGGAATGAAGTGGAGTGGAATGGAGTTGAGTGGAATGGAATATATTGGAATCGAATTGAATGGAGTGGAGTGGAATGGAGTGGCGTGCAGTAGAATGGAATGGAGGGGATTAGAATGGAATGGAATGGATACGAATCGAAAGGAATCAAAACGAATGGAGTTAAATGGAATAGAATGGAGAACAATGGAATCGAATGGAATTTAATGGAATGGAATGCAATTTAAAGGAGTGGAAAGGAATGCAATGGAATGGAGTGGAATGGAATGGAATGGAATGGAGTGGAATGGAATGGAATGGAGTGGACTGGATTTGAGTGGAGTGGAGTGGAGTGGAGTGGAATAGATTGCAGGGGAGTGGAGTGGAGAGAAATAGAATGGAGTGTAATAGAATCGAATCACGTAGAATGCAGCGGCATCGAGTGGAATTGAATAGACTGGAAAGCAATGAAATGGAGTAGAATGGAATGGAGTGGAATGGACTGGAATGGAATAGAATGGAATGAAGAGGAGTGGAATGTAATGCAGCAGAATAGAATGGAATGGAATGAAATGGATTGGAATTTAGTGGAGTAGAATGTAGTGGAGTGGAGTGGAATGGAATTCAATGGAATGGAAAGGAACGGAATGACGCGGAGTGAAAAGGAATGGAATGCAATGGAACAAAATGGAATGGAAAGGATTGGAATAGAATGGGATGGAGTGGAATGGAATGAAGTGCAGTTGAATAAAATGGAGTGCAGTGAAAAAGAATGGAATGGAGTGGAATGGAATGGAATTGAGTGGAGTCGGATGGATTGGTGTGTAGTGGGATGGAATGGAGTGGAATGGAATAAAATGGACTGGAATGGAATGGAGCGTAATGGAAAGGAGTGGAGTGGAATGGAAAGCAGTGGAATGGAATGGAATGCAATGGAAGGGAATGGAATGGAATGGAATTGAATGGAATGGAACTGAACGAAACGGAATGGAATGGAAAGGAATGAAATGGAATGGAATGGAATGGAGTGGATTGGAATGGAAATGAATGAAATGGATTGGAGTGGAGTGGAGTGGAGTGCAAAGGAATGGAATGGAATGCAGACCAGTGGGATGCAATGGAGTGGAGTGAAATGAAATGGAATGGATTAGAGTGGAATGGAGTGGAGTGTAATGAAATGGAGTGGAATCAAAGGGAAAGGTGTGGAATGGACTGGAATGGAGTGCAGTGGAATGGAATGGAATTGTATGGAAAGGAATGGAATGGAATGGAAGGGAATGGAATGGAATGGAATGGAGTGGAATGGAATGGAAAGGATTGTGATGAAGTGCAATTTAGTGGAATGGAATGAAATTCAATGGAGTGGAGTGGAGTGGAGTGCCATGGAAAGCAGAGGAGTGGGGTAGAGTGGAATGGAGTGTAGAGGATTATAGTGGAATGGAGTAGAGAGTAGTGGAATGGAGTGGAATGGAATGGAGTGAAGTGGAAAGGAGTTGAGGACAATGGAATGGACTGGAATGGAATAGAATGGAGTGGATGGAGTGGAATGTAATGTAGTGTTGTGTAATGGACTGGAGTGGTGTTGAATGGAATGGATTGGATTGGAATGGAATAGAATGGAATTGAATGGACTAGTGTAGAGTGGAGAGGAGTGGAAGGGAAAGTAGTGGATTGGAGTGGAGGGGAGTGGAATGGAGTGCAGTGGAATGGAGTCGAGTGGAATGGATTGGAACGTATTGGAGTGGAATGGCGTGGAGTGGAATGCAATAGAAATGAGTGGAGAGGAATTGAATTGAGAAGAGTAATATGGAGTGGAATGGCGTGGATTGGAGTGGAAAGGAATGGAGTTGAGTGGAATTTAGTGGAATGGAGTGGAATGGAGTGGAGTGGAGTCAACTGTAGTGGAGTGGAGAGGATTGAACAGGATGGGAATGGAGTGGAGTGCAATGGAGTGGAGTGGAGTGGAGTGGAACGGAATGGAATGGAATGTACAGGAATGGATAGGAAGGGAATGGAATGGAATGGAATAGAGAGGATTTAATTTAATGGAGTGGAGTGGAATGTAATGGACAGGAGTGTTGTGGAATGGATTGGAATGGAATGAAACATAGTGGAGTGAAGTGGAATGGAGTGGAGTGGAGTGGAATGAAATGGAATGTAATAGAGTGCTGTGGAGTGGAAAGGAATGGAATGGAATGGAATGGAATGGAATGGAATGGAGTGGAGTGGAGCGGAATGGGATGGAACGGAGTGCAGTGGAATGGAATGGATTTGAGTGGAATGGAGTAGAGTTTAGTAAAATGGAATGGAGTGGAGTGGAATGGAGTGCATTGGAATGGAGTGGAGTGGTATGGAGTGGAATGGCATGGAATAAAGCGGAATGGAGTGGAGTGGAAATGAATGGAGTGGAGTGGAAAGGAATAGAAAGGACTGGAATGGATTTGATTGGAATGGAATGGAATGGAGTGGAGTGGAGTGGAGTGGAATGCAGTTTAATGGAATGGAATGGAATGGAGTGGAGTGGAGTGGACTGGAGTGGATAGAAGTGGAAGGAAGTGTAATCGAGTGGAAACGAGAGGTGTGGAATGGAATGGAGTGGAGTGGAATGTAATGGTATGTACAGGAGAGGAATGGAGTGGAATGCAGAGCAGTGTCATGGAATGATGTGAAGTGGAATGTAATTCAGTATAATGGAATGCAATGTAATAATTTGGACTGGAATATAGTAGAGTGGAATGGACTTGAGTGGAGTGGAATGGAATGGAATGGAGTAGAATAGAATGGAATGGAATGGAATGGAATGGAATGGAATGGAATGGAATAGAATAGAACGGAATGGAATGGAATGGAAAGGAATTGAATGGAATGGAATACAATGTAATGGAAAGGAGTGGATTGGAATGGAATAGGCTGGAGTGCAATTGAAAGGAGGGATTTGGAATAAAATGGAATGCAGTTGATGGAATTGATTTGGGTGGAATGCAATGGAATGGAGTGGATTGGAAAGGAATGGAATTAAATGGATTGGAGTATATTGTTGTGGAGTGAAGTGGAGTGCGATGGAATGGAATGGAATGGAGACAAGGGGCATGTAATGGAATGAAGTGAAATTAAATGTAATGGAGTAGGGTGGAGTGGAGTGGAATGGAGTGGAGTGAAATGGAATGGAGTGGAATGGATTGGAAAGGAGTGGAATGCAGTGGAATGGATTGCCCTGGAGGGAATGGAGAGGAAAGGAATGGAATGGAATGGAGTGGAAAGGAGAGAAATGGAATCGAATGGAATGGAGTTGAATGGAATGGAGTGGAGTGGAGTGGAGTGGAGTGGAGTGGAGTGGAGAGGAGTGGATTGTAATGGAAAAGAGTGGAATGGAGTTGAGTGGATTGGAATGGATTGGAATGGAATGGAAAGCAGTGGAAAGGAGTGGAGTGGACTGGAATGGTGTGGAGTGGAGGGGAACACAATGGAATTTAATTTAATGGAAAGAGAGGAGTGGAGAGGAGTGCAGTGGAATGGAATGGACTTGGAGAGGCGTGGAATGGGATGGAGTGGAATGTAGTGGAATGGAGTGGAAGGGAATGGAGTGGAATGGAATGGATTTGAATGGAATGGAGTGGAATGGAGTGGAGCAGAATGGAATGGTGTTTAGAGGAGTGGAATGGCTTGGAATGGAATGGAGTGCAAATGAATGGAATAGAATGGAATGGAGTGCAAATGAATGGAATGGAATGGAGTGGATTGAAAAGGACTGTAGGGGAATGGAGTGGAGTGGAGTAGAATGGAATGGAGTGGAATGCAGTGGAGTGGAGTGCAATGAAGTGGAGTGGAATGGAATGGAGTGGAATGGAATAGAGATGAATGTAGTGGAGTCGAATGGAAAAGAGTGGAGTGGAATGGAGTGGAGTGGAACGGAAAGGAGTGGACTGGAGTAGAATGGAGTGGGCTGCAGTGGACTGGAGTGGAGTGCAGTGTAGTGAAAAGTAATGGAATGGAGTGGAATGAACTGGAGTACAGTGGAATGGAGTGGAGTGTAATGGAACGGAATGGAGTGGAATGGAGTGGAATGGAGTAGATTGGAGTGGAAGGGAATGTAGTGGACTGGAGTGGAATGGAATGGAGTGGAGTGGAATGGAAAGGAATGAAGTGTAATGCAATGGAATGGAATGGAATGGACTGAAGTGGGATGGAGTGGTGTGGAGTGGAGTGGAATGGAATAGAGTGGAAAGGAATGGAATAAAACAGAGACGAGTGGAATGGAATGGAATGGATTGGAGTGAAATGGCGTGGAGTTGAATGGAGTGAAATGGAGTAGAGTGGAGTCTAGTGGAATGGAATGCAGTGGAATGAATGAGAATGGATTGGAGTGGAATGAAATGGAGTGGAGTGGAAAGGAATTGAGTGGAATTGAATGGAATGGATTAGAGTGGAGTGGAATGGAGTGGAGTGGAATGGAGTGGATTGGAATGGAGTGGAGTGGAGTGGAATACAAGGGAATGAAGTACAATGGAATGGAGTGGAGTCGAGTGGAGTTCAATGGAATGGAATGGAGTAGAGTGGAGTGAAGTGGAATGGAGTGGAGTGGAATAGAGTGGAGGGTTGTGGAGTGGAGTGTAATGGAATGGAATGGAGTGGAGTGGAGTGGAATTGAACGGAACGCAACGGAGTGAAACAGAGTGGAACTGAGTGGAGTTCAGTAGAGTGGAATGGAGTGGAATGGAATGGAATGGATTATGGTGGAGTGGAATGGAATGGAATGGAATGGAATGGAATGGAATGGAGAGGAATGGAGTGGAATGGAATGGAATGGAATGGAGTGGAATAGATTGGAATGCAGTGGAGTGGAATGGAATGGAGCGGAGTGGAAAGGAATGGATTAGAATGGAATGGAAAGGAATTGAATGGATTGGAGTGGAATGAAGAGGAGTTTAATGGAGTGGAGTGGAGTGCAGTGGAGTGGAATGGAATTGAATGAAGTGGAACACAATGGAAAGGAGTGGGGTCTAATGGACTGGAGTGGAGTAGAATGGAGTGGAGTGGAATGGAATGGACTGGAGCTGAGTAGAATGGTGTGAACTGGAGTGCAGTGGAGTTTATTAGAATATAATGCAATGGAGTGGAGTGGAGTATATAGGAGGGGAATGGAAAGATTTGGAGAGGAATGGAATGGATAGTACTGGAATGGAGTGGAATGGATTGTAGTGTTGTGGAATGCAATTCAGTGGAGCGAAATGGAGTGGAGTGGAATGAAGAGGAATGGAAAGGAATGGAGTGGAATGGAGTGGAATTGAGTGCAGTGGAGTTGAATGGAATGGAGTGGAGTGGAATGGAGTACAGGGGAGAAGAATGGAGTGCAGTGGAATGAAATGGAATTGAGTGGAGGTGAGTGGAGTGGAGTCGAGTTGAATGCGGAGGAGTGCAATTGAATGGATTGGAATGGAATGCAATGGAGTGGAATGGAGGTGACTGGAGTGGAGTAGAGCAGAGTGGAATGAAATGGAATGGAGTGGACTGGAATGGAGTGGAGGGGAGTGGAGTGGAGTGTAATGGAATGGAATGGAATGGAGTATAGAGGAGTGGAGTGGAATGGAATGGAGTGTAATGGAGTGGAGTGGATTGGAGTGGATTGGAGTGGAATGGGATGGAGTGGAGTGAAGTGGAATGGAATGGAGTTGAGTGGTGTGGACGGAAGTGGGATGGAATGTATTGGATTGCAATGGAGCGTACTGGAATGGAATGGAATTGAAAGGAGTGGAGAGGAGTGGAATTGAATGAAATGGAATGGATTCGAGTGAAATGGAGTGCTCTCGAGTGTAGTGGAACGAAGTGGAGTGGACTATAACGTAGTGGAGTAGAGTGGAATGGAGTGAAGTGGAGTGGAATGGAATGTAAAGGAATGGAAAAGAGTGGAATGTAATAGAATGGAATGGAATGGAATGGAAAGGAGTGAAATGGAATGGAGTGCATTGGAATTGAATAGAGTGGAGTGACTGGAATGGACTGTAGTGGAATAGTTTGGAATGCATTGGAGAGGACTGGAGTGTATTGGAATGTAATGGAGTGGAGTGAAGAAGATTGAGGTGGAATGGAATGAAATGGATTGGAAAGGAATGGCAAAGAATGGAGTGGGATGGAATGGAAAGGAGTGGATTGGAATGGAGTGGAGTGGAGTCGAATCGAATGGAATTGAATTGAATGGAATGGAGTGGAATGGAATGGGATGGAGTGAAGTAGAATGGCATGGTGTGGATTGCAAAGGAATGGAATGGAGTGGAAAGGAATGGGATGGAGTAAAGTAGAATGGAATGGTGTGGATTGCAAAGGAATGGAATGGAGTGGAAAGGAATGGAGTGGAGTGGTGTGGAGAGGAGTGGATTCGAGTGGAATGGAATGGAATGGAATGGAATGGAATAGAAGGGAGTGCAGTGTAGTGGAGTCGGGTGGAGTGGAGTGGAATGGAGTGGAGTGGAATGAAATGGAAAGGAGTGGATTTGAATAGAGTGGAGTGGAGTAGAAAGGAGTGGAGTGCAATGGATTGGAATTTAATTTAATGTAAAGAGGGGAGTGGAGTGCAGTGGAATGGAATGGAATGGAATGGAAGGAAGTGGAGTGAAGTGGAGTGGCATCGAATGGAATAGAGTGGAATGGAGAGTTATGGAGTGGAATGGAATGGATTGGAATGGAACAGAGTTGAATGCACTAGAGTGGAGTGGAAAGAAGTAGAGTGGAATGGAATGGCATAGAATGGAATGGAGTGGAAATGAACGGAAACGAATGGAGTGGAATGGAAAGGAGTGAAGTGGAATGGAGTGGAGCAGAGTGGAATGGCATGGAGTGGAATGGAGTGGAGTGGAGTGTAAAGAAGAGGAATGGAATGGTATGGAGTGGAATGGAATAGAGTGGAAAGTATTTGAATGGAAATGAATCGATTGGATAGGAGTGGAGTTGAATGGAGTGGAGTGTAGTGGATTGGAGTGGAGTGGATTGCAGTGGAATGGAGTGGAATGGGGTGGAGTGGAAAGGAATGGAGTGGAGTGGAGTAGAATGGAGTGGACTGCAGTGGACGAGAGTGGAGTGGGGTGTAGACAAATATAATGGAGTGGAAAGGAGTGAAGTGGAGTATAGTGGAATGGACTGGAGTGGAATGCAATGGAAAGGAGTGGAATGGAGTAGAGTGGAGTGGAATGGAATGGAATGGAGTAGAGTGGAGTGGAAAGGAATGGAGTGGAGAGGAATGAAATGGAATGGAGTGTAATGCAATGGAATGGAATGGAACGGAGTGAAGCGGAATGGAGTGGTTTGGATTGGAGTGGAATGGAATGGAGTGGAATGGAATGGAACGGAGTGAAGCGGAATGGAGTGGTTTGGATTGGAGTGGAATGGAATGGAGTGGAATGGAATGGAATGGAATGGTAAAGAATGGAATGGAATTGAGGGGAGAGGAGTAGAATGTAATGGTTTGGAGTGGATTGGAATGGAGCCGAATAGAGTGGAGTAGAGTGGAAAGGAATGGAGTCAAGTGGAGTAGAGGGGAGTGTAGTGAAGCGGAATGGAGTGGAGTGGAATGGAATGGACCGGTGTGGAAAGGAATGGAGTAGAGTAGACTGGAATGCAGTGTAGTAGAGTTTAATGGAATGGAGGTGAATGGAATGGAGTGGAGTTCTATGAAGTGTATTGGAATGGAAAGTGGTGGAGAATAATGGAGTTTAAATGAATGGAACAGAATGGAGTGGAATGGAATGGAGTGGAATGGAATGGAATGGAATGGAATGGAGTGATGTAGGATGGAATGGAATGGAATGGAATGAAATGGAATGCAATGGAGTAGCATAGAGTGTAATGTAATGGAGTGTAGGGGAGTAGAGTCTAGTGAAGTGGAGAGGAGTTTAATGGAAACGAGTGGAATGGAGTGGAGTGGAGCAGAGTGGAGGGGAGTGGAATCGAATTTAATGGAATGGAAAGGAGTGTAGTGGAGTGGAATGCAGTGGAATTGAATGGAGTGCAGTTAAATGCAGTGAAATGGAATGGAATGGAATGGAATCGAATGGAATGATGTACAATGGAATGGAGTGGAATGGAATGGAAGAGAATGGATTGGAATGGACTGAATTGGAGTGGAGTGCAGTGCAGTGGAGTGGAATGGAGTGAAGTGGAATGGAATGGAGTGGAGTGAGGAAGGGTGTACTGGAGTGGAGTGGAAAAGTGTTGAATGGAATTGAGTGAAGTGGAATGCAATGCAATGGAATAGAATGGACAGGAGTAGAATGGATTTGAGTGGAATGGAATGGAGTGGACTGGAATTGAGTGGAGTGGAGTGGAATGGAGGGGAGTAGAATGGAGTGGAGTGGAGAGAAACGGATTGGGCTGGAATGGAATGGTATGGAATGGATTGTAATGGAAAGAATGGAGTGGAATCGAATGGGATGGAATGGAATGGAGTGCACAGGAATGGAGTGCGTTGGAGTGGAATGGAGTAGAGTGGAATTGAACGGAATGGAATGGAGTCGAATTGAGTGGAGTGGAGTGTAACGGAGTATAGTTGATTGGAGTGGAGTGGAATGGAATGGAGTGGAGTAGATTGGAACGAAATGGTGGGATGGAATGGAATAACGTGGAGTGTAATGGAAGGGAATGGATTGGAATTCATTGGAGAGGAGTGTAATGTAAAGGAGTGGCGTGGAATGGAATGGAATGCAATGGAGTGGAGTTGAGTGGAATGGAATGCAATGTATTGGAATGGAGTGGAACGGAGTGCAATGGAGAGGAGTGGAGTGCAATGGAATGGAGTGCAGTGGAATGGAATGGAATGGAGTTGAGTGTATTGGAGTGGAGTGGACTGGAATGGAGAGGAATGGAGTGTAGAGCAAAGAAATGGAGTGTATGGAATGGAAAGGAATGCAGTGGAGTGGAATGGAGTGGAGTGGAGTGGAGTGGAGTGGAGTGGAATGATTAAGAAGGGAATGAATGGAATGGAATGGAAAGGAATGCATTCTAATGGAATGGAGTGGAGTGGAATGATAAGGAGTGGAGTGGAATGGAATGGAGTGAAGTGGAGTAGAGTGGAGTGGAATGGAATGGAGTGGAGTGGAGTGGAGTGGAAAGCATTGGAATGCAATAGATTGGATTGGAATGGTGTGGAATATAGTGGAGTGGAGTGGAATGGAATACAGTTGAGTGGAATTGAACGGAAAGAGAGGAATGGAAAGGCATGGAAAGGTGTGGAGTGGAATAGAATGGAGTGGAGTGGAAAGGAATATATTGGAAAGGAATGGAATGAGGTGGAGCAGAGTGGAATGGAGAGGAGTGGATTGGAATGGAGTGGAATGTAATGGATTGCAGTGGAATGGAATGAAATAGACTGGAATGCAAGGCAGTGGAATGGAGTGTTATGGCATGGAGTGGAATGGAAAAGAATGGAATGGAATTGAATGGAATGAAATGGATTGGAGTTGAGTGGAGTGGGGTGGACTGGAATAGAGTGGAGTGGAGTGCAGTGGTATGGAACGGAATGGAGTGGAAAGGAATGGAATTGAATGAAATGGAAGGCAATGCAGTGTATTGGAATGGAATGGAATGGATTGGAATGGAAAGGAGTGGAGGGGAATGGAATGGAGTGGAGTGGACTGGAAGGGAGTGGAATTGTGTAGACTGAAATGGAACAGAGTGGAGTTGAATGGAATGGAGAGGAATGGAATGGAATGGAATGCAATGTAGTGTAGTGGAGTGGAGTGGAATGGCGTGGAGTAGAGTGGAATGGTGTGGAGTTGAATGGAGTAGACTGGAATGGAGAAGAGTGGAGTTGAATGAAGCAGTGTGCAATGGAATGGAGTGGAGTGCAGTGAAATGGAATGGAATGGAGTGGAGTGGTGTTGAATGGAATGGATTGGAGCAGAGTGGAATGGAGTGGAGTGGAGTGGAGTGAAATTTAGTGGAGTGGAATGGAGTGGAGTGGAATTGAGTGGAGTCAAATTGAGTGGAATGGAGAGGAATAGAAAGTAGTGGAGTAGAGAGGAGTGGAAAGGAGTGGAGTGGAGTGGAATGGAATGGAAAGGAATGGAGTGAACTGGAATGGAATGGAGTGGAGTTGAGTACAGTGGATTGGAGTGGAGAAGAGTGGAGTGGAAAGGAGTGGAGTGGATTGGAATGGAAAGGAATGGAATGGAGTGGACTGGAATGGATTGGAGTGGAGTGGTGTAGAGTGGAGTGGAGTGGAAGGGAATGGAATGGAATTTAATGGAATGGAATGGAGTGGAATGGAATGGAGTGGAATGAAATGGAAGAGAATGGATTGGAATGGACTGGAGTTCAGTGCAGTGGAGGGGAGAAGAGTGCAATGGAGTGGAGTGGAATGGAATGCAATGGAGTGGAGTGGAGAAGAGTGTACTGGAGTGGAGTGGAATGCGGTTAAATGGAATTGAGTGAAGTGGAATGGAATGGAATGGAACGGAATGGATTGGAATTGAAAAGAGTGGATTGGAATGGTATGGAGTTGACTCGAATGTAGTGGTGTGGAATGGAGTGGAGTAGAATGGAGTGGATTTCAGAGGAATGGAGTGGATTGGAAAGGATTGGTATGGAATGGAGTGGAAAGGAACGGAATGGAAAGGAATGGAATTGAATGGGATGGAATGGAATGGAGTGGATTGGAATGGAGTGGAATGGAGTGGAATGGAGTGGAGTGGAATTTAACGGAATGGAGTGTAGCTCAGTATAGTTGAGTGGAATGGAGTGGAATGGAAAGTAAAGGAGTGAAGTGGATTGGAATGGAATGGTGTGGAGTGGAACAGAATAAAGTGGACGGGAATGGAACAGAATGTATTGGAATTGATGGGAGAGGAGCGTAGTGGAGTGGAATGGAATGGAACGCAATGGAATGGAGTGGAGTGGAATAGAATGGAATGGAGTGGAATGGAGTGGAATGGAGTGCAATTGAGAGGACTGGAGTGCTATGGAATGGAGTGCAGTGGAATGGAACGGAATGGAATTCAATGGAGTTGAGTTTAGTGTAGTGGAGTGGAATGGAATGGAGTGGAATGGAGTGGAGAGAAATGGAATGGAGTGGAATGGAATGGAAAGGAATGCAGTGGAGTGAATGGAGTGAAGTGAAATTGACTGGAGTGGAATGGAATAATAAAGAACGGAATGGAACGGAATGGAATGGAATGGAATGGAATGGAGTTGAATGGAATGGAGTAGAGTGGAATGAAATGAAGTGGAGTGT
The DNA here is from genome assembly GCF_000001405.40 of Homo sapiens. Classification (NCBI taxonomy): domain Eukaryota; kingdom Metazoa; phylum Chordata; class Mammalia; order Primates; family Hominidae; genus Homo; species Homo sapiens. The sequence continues at coordinate 145,201 of NT_187391.1, forward strand.
AATGGAACGGAGTGATGTGGAGTAGAGTGGAGTGGAGTGGAATGGAGTGCAGTGGAATGGAGTGGAGTGGAATGCACAGGAATGGAATGGATTGGATTGGAATGGAGTGGAATGGAGTGAAGTGGAGTGGAATGGAATGCAGTTCAGTGGAAATGAATGGAAAGAGATGAATGGAAAGGCATGGAATGCTGTGGAGTGGAATTAAATGGAGTGCAATGGAATGGAATGAAGTGGAGCAGAGTGGAATTTAGAGGAGTGGATTGGAATGGAGTGCAATGCAATGGAGTGCAGTGGAATGGAATGGAATGGAGGGCAGTGGAATGGAATTAAGTGGAGTGGAATGCAATGGAATGGAATGGAGTGTTATGGTATGGAGTGGAATGGAAGAGAATGGAATGGAATTGAATGGATTGGAATGGATTCGAGTCGAGTGGAGTGGAGTGCAGGGGCATGGAGTGCAGTGCAGTGCAATGTTATGGAAGGGAATGGAATGGAATGGATTGGAAAGGAATGGAATTGATTGAAATGGATTGGAATGGAATGGAATGCTGTGTAATGTAATGGAATGGAATGGATTGGAGTGGAATGGAGTAGAGTGGAATGGAATGGAGTTGAATGTACTGCAAAGGTGTGGAATGGTGTTGACAGGAATGGAAAGGTTTGGAGTGGAATGGAATGGAGTGGAATGGAATGGAATGGAATGGAATGGAGTGGAGTGGAGTGGAGTGGAACGGCGTGGAGTGGAACGGCGTGGAGTGGAGTGGAGTGGAATGGTGTGCAGCGGAGTGGAGTGGATAGGAATGGAGAAGAGTGGAGTTGAATGAAGCGGAGTGCAATAGAATGGAGTGGAGTGGAGTGGAATGGAGTGGAGGGAAGAGGTGTGGAATGAAATGGAGTGGAGTGGAGTGGAATGGAGTGGAGTGGATTTCAGTGGAATGTGGTGGAGTGGAAAGGAGTGGAGTTTAATGGAATAGAATGGATTGGCATCAAGTGGAATTGAGTCGAATGGGATGGAATGGAATGGAGTGGACAGGAATGGAATGGAGTGGAGTGGAGTAGAGTGGAGTCGAGTGTAATGGAGTGGGGTGCCGAGGAATGGAGTGGAGTGGAATTGAATAGATTGGAGTGGACTGGAGTCGAGTGGATTGGAATGGAGTGGAATGGAATGGAGTCGAGTGGAATGGAGTGGAATGCAGTTGAGTGGAGTAGAATGGAAAGGAATGGAGTGGAGTGGAGACGAATGGAATGGACTGGAATGGAATGGAGTGGAGTGTATTGGAATGGACTGGAATAGAATGCAATGGAGTGGAACGGAAGTTACTTGAAGTAACTGGAATGGAGTGAAATGGAGTTGAGTGGAGTGGAGTGGAATGGAATGGAGTGGACGGGAATAGAGTGGAGTGGAATAGAGTGTAATGGAATGGAGTGGAATGGAATGGTATGTAATGGAGTGGAGTGAAATAGAGTGTAATGGAATGGAGTGGAATGGAATGGAATTAAGTGGAGTGAAATGGAGTGCAGTGGAATGTTGTGGAGTGGAGTGGAATGGAATGGGCAGGAATGGAGTGAAGTGGAGTGGAGTGGAGTGGAATGGAATGGAGTATAACGGAGTGAAGTTCAATGGAGTGGAGAGGAGGGGAGTGGAGAGGAATGCAGTGGAATGGAATGGAATGGAATTAAATGGATTGGAGTGGAATGGAATGGAATGGAATGGAGTGGAGTCAAGTGGAATGGAGAGGACAGGAGTGGAGTGCAGTGGAATGGAATGGAATGGAGAGAAGGGAAATGGAGTGGAATGGAGTGTAATGGAGTGAAGTAGAATGGAATTGAATGGAGAAGAGTAGAATGGAGTGGAGTGGATAGGAGAGGAGTGGAGTGGAATGGATTGGAGTGGAATGGAGTGGAGTGGAATGGAATGGAATGAATTGGGATGGAATGGCGTGGAATTAAATGGAGTGGAGTGGAAAGGAAAGGAGTGGAGTGGAGTGGAAAGGAATTGAGTGGCATGGACGGGAATCGAATGTATTGGAAAGAAATGGAATGGAAAGGAGTGGAGTGCAATGGAGTGGAGTGGAATAGAGTAGAGTTGAAGAGTGTTGAGTGGAATTGAAAGGTCTGTAGTGTAATGGAATGGAGTGGAATGGAATGGAGTGGAGTGGAGTGGATTCTTCTGGAATGGTATAGAATGAAATGGAATGGAAAAAAAGAGTGGAGTGGAATGGAACGGAGTGGAGTGTAATGGAATGGAATGGAGTGGAAGGGATTGAAAAGGAATGGACTGCAGTGCAGTGGAGTGGAATGGAAGGGAATGGAGTGTAGAGGAGTATAATGGACTTGAATGGAATGGAATGAAGTGGAGTGCAATGGAAAGGAGTGGAGTGGAATGGAAGGGAATGGAGTGTAGAGGAGTATAATGGACTTGAATGGAATGGAATGAAGTGGAGTGCAATGGAAAGGAGTGTAGTTGAAAGGATTGGAATGGAATGGAATGGAATGGAATGGAATGGAAAGGAATGGAGTGAAATGGAAAGGAATGGAATGGAATGGAGTGAAATGGAATGGAATGGAATGGAACGGAAAGGAATGGAACGGAAAGGAATGGAAAGGAATGGAACGGAAAGGAATGGAACGGAAAGGAATGGAACGGAAAGGAATGGAATGGAATGGAATGGAATGAAAAGGAATGGAATGGAATGGAATGGAATGGAATGGAATGGAATGGAATGGAATAGAGTGGAACGAAGCAGAATGGAATGGCATGGAATGGAATGCAATGGAATGGAATGCAGTAGATACAAATGGAAAGGAATTGAAAGGAATGGAGTGGAGTGGAGTGGAAAGGAATGGAGAGGAGTGGAGTGGAATAGAATGGAATGGACCGGGATGGAATAGAGTAGATTGCAGTGGAGTGGAATGGAATGGAATGGAATGGAAAGGAAAGGAAAGGAAAGGAAAGGAAAGGAATGGATTGGATTAGAGTAGAGTGGAGTGAAGTGGAGGGGAATGGAAAGGATGGAATAGAAGGAATGGAATGGAGTGCAATGGATTGGAATGGAGTGGAATGGAATGGAATGGACTGGTAAGGAATGGAATGGAGTGGAATGGAATGGTATGGAGTGGAGTGGCATGGAATGGAATGAAGTGGAGTGTAGTTGAATGGAATGGAATAGAATGGAATGGAGTTGAATGTAATGGAGTGGAGTGGAATGGAATGGAGTGGAGTGGAATAGAGTGATGTTGATTGGAATGGAACGGTTTGGAGTGGAAAGGAAATGAACGGAGTGAAGAGGAATGCAGTGTAGTGCAACGCAATGTAGTGGAGTGGAAGGGAATGGAGTGGAGTGCAAAGGATTGGAAAGGAATAGAGTGTAGTGGAGAGAAGTGGAACAGAATGGAATGGAGTGGAGTTGACTGGAATGGAATGGAATGGAATGGACATGAATGAAATGGAAAGGAATTGAGAGGAATGGAATGGAGTTTAGTGGAATGGAATGGAGTGGAGTGGAATGGAATGGAGTGGATTGCAATAGAGTGAAGTGGATTGGAATGTAACGGAATGGAGTGGAGTTGAATGGATTTGAGTAGAAAGGAATGGAGGCTAGTGGAATGGAATGGAGTGGATTGGATTGGAATGCAGTGGAGTGTAAGAGATTGAAGTGGACTGGAGTGTAGTGGAGTGGAGTGAAATGGAATGGAATGGAATTGAGTGGAGTAGAGTGAAGTGGAATGGAATGGAGTGGATTTTAGTAGAGTTGGATGGAGTGGAATTGAATGGAAAGGAATGGTGTGAAGTGAAATGGAAATCAATGGAATGGAGATGAATGGAATGGAATGGAATGGAATGGAGTGGAACGGAATGGAATGGAGTGGAGGGGAATGGAGTGGAGTGTATTGGGATGGAGTGAAATAGAATGGAGAGAAGTGGAATGGAAAGGAGTATAATGGAATGAAAGAATGGAGTGTAGTGGAATAGAGTGGAGTGGAATGGAGTGGAATGGAATGAAATGGATTTGAGTGGAATGGAATGGAGTAGAATCGAATGGAATGGAATAAAACAGAGTGGAATGGTGTGGTGTGGAATGGAATGGAGTGAAGTGGAATGGAATGGAATGGAATGGAATGGAGTTGAATGGAATGGAATGGAATTTAGTGGAATGGAATGGATTGGAGTGGAATATAGTGTAGGGGAGTCGAATGGAATGGAGTGGACTGGAATGGAATGGAATGGATGGGATTGGTGTGGAGTGTATTGTAATGGAGTGGAATACAATGGAGTGAATTGGAATGGAATGCAGTGGAATGGAATGGAGTGGAGTGGAGTGGAGTGGAGTCGAGTGGAGTGGAGTGGAATGGAATGGATTTGAGTGGAATGTAATCGAGTGGAATGGAATGGAATGAAGTAGATTAGAACGGAGTGGTGTAGAGTGGAGTGGAGTGGGTTGGAATGGAATGGAATGGCAAAGAATGGAATGGGCAGGAATGGAGTAGAGTGAAGCAAAGCAGAGAGGGGTGGACTGGAATGTAATGGAGTGGAATTGAGTGGAAAAGAATGGAGTGGATTGTAGCGGAGTGGAGTGGAATGGAGTGAAAAGGAATGGAATGGAATAGAATGGAGTGGAGAGGAATGGACTGGAATGAAGTTGAATGGAATGGAATGCAGTGTAGTGGAGTTGAGTGGAGAGGAATAGAAAGGAATGCAATGGAGTGAAATGGAATGAAATGGAAAGCAATGGAGTGTAGTGGAATAGAATTGAATGGAGAGGAATCGAATGGATTGGAGTGGATTGTAGTGAAGTATAGATGAGTGAGTGGAATGGAAGCGAGTGTGCTGGAGTGGATTGGAGTGGAGTGGACTGGATTGGAATGATGTGGAGTGGAGTACAATTGAATGGAGTGGAATGGAATGCAATGTAGTGGAATGGTGTGGAGTGGAGTGGAATTGAATGGAGTGGAGATGAATGAAAAGGAATGGAATGGAGCGGAGTGGATTGCAATGGAACGGAGTGGAATGGAATGTAGGGGAATGTAGTGGAATGGAGGTGAGTGGAGTGGAGTGGAGTGCAGTGGAATGGAATGGAATGGAATTGAATGGAAGGCAATAGAATGGAATGGAACGGAGTGGAACGGAATGGAATGGAGTGCAATGGAAGGAAATGGAATTGAATGGAATGGAATGGACTGGATTGGAATGGACGGAAGTGCATGGACTTGAGAGGAGTAGAGTGGAATGGAATGGAACGGAGTGGAATGGAATGGAATGGAGTGGACTGGAATGGAATGTAGTAGAGTGGAATGGAGTGGAGTGTATTGGAATGGAGTGGAATAGAATGGAGTGGAGTGGAATGGAATTCAGTGGAATGGAATGGAAGAGAATGGAGTGGAATGGAGTTGAGTGGAGTGGAGTGGAATGGAATGGAGTGGAATGGAATGGAGTGAGTCGAATGGAGTGGAGTGGAATAGAGTGGAATGGAATGGAGTGAAATGTAATGGAATGAATTGGAGTAGTATGGAATGGAGTGGAATTAATTTGAGTGGAATGGAGTGGCTTGGAATGGAGTGGAGTCGAGTGGAATGGATTAGAATGGAGTGGAATGGAATGGGAAGGAATGGAGTGGAGGTGAGTGAAGAAGAGTGGAGTGGATTGGAATGGAATGGAGTGGAATGGATTGGAATTGAATGGAGTGGAGTGTATTGGTGTGGAGTGGAATGGAGTGGAATGGAATGGAATGGAATGCAATGGAGTGGAGTGGAATGGAATGAAATTGAATGGAATGGAATGGAATGGATTGGAGTGGAGTAAATTGGAGTGGATTTTAGTGGAGTGGAATGGAGTGGAGTGGAGTAGAGTGAACACGAATGGAATGGAATGGATTTTAGTAGAGTGGAGTCGTGTGGAGTGGAGTGGAATGGAGTAGAGTGGTGTGGAGTGGAGTGGAGTGGAATGGCGTGGAGTGGTGTGGAGTGGAGTGGAGTGGAATGGAATGAAATAGAACGGAGTAGAATGGAGTGGAGTGTCATAGAATGGAGTTTAATGGAATGGAATGAAATAGAGTTAAGTGCAATGGAATGGAGTATAAGTCAGTGGAGTGGAGTGGAATCGAAAGGAATGGAATGAATTGGAATGGACTGGACTTGAGTGGATAGGAGTGCAGTGGAGTGGAATGGAGTGGAGTGGAGTGGATTGGAACGGAATGAAATGGAATGGAATGGAATTGAGTGGGCATGAGATGAGTGTACTGGAGAGGAGTGCAATGGGGTTGAATGGAAGGGACTTAAGTGGAATAGACGGGAATGTAATGGAATGAAATGGAATGGAATGGAATGGTTTGGAATGGTATTGAGTGGACTGGAATGGAGTGGTGTGGAAAGCAATGGAGTAGAGTGGAATGGAGTGGCATGGAATTGTGTGGAGTGGAATGGAGTGGAGTGGAGAGGAATGGAATGGAGTGGAGTTGAGAGGAATGGAAATGAGTGGAATTAAATGGAAAGGAATGGAGTGGATTGGAATGGAATGGAATGGAGAGGAGGGGAATGGAGTGGATTGGAATGTAATGTAGTGTAGAGGAATGGAATTGAATGGAGTGAAGTCAAATAGAGTGGAGTGGATTGAAGTGGATTGTAATTGAGTGGAATGGAGTGGGGTGCAGTGGAGTGGAGTAGAGTGGAATGAAATGGAATGGGGTGGAGTGGAGTGGAATATAGCAGAGTTGAATGAGATAGCGTGGAGTGGAATTGAATGGTGTGGAATGGAATGCAATGGAGCGGAATGGAGTGGAGTTGAGTGGAATGGAAGGGAGTAGAGTGGAATGAAATGAATGAAGTGGAACGGAACGGAATGGATTGGATTGGAATGGAGTGGAATGTTTTAGAATGGGATGGAGTGGAGTGGAATGGAGTGGAGTGGAATGGAGTGGAATGGGAGGGAATGCAGCTGGATGATCTGGAGTGGAATTAAATGGAGTGGAGTGGAATGGAATGGACTGCAGTGAAATATAGTGGAATGGAATGAAACGGAACTTAATGCAATGGAATGGATTGGAATGGAGTGGAATGGAGTGGAGTGGAGTGCAATGAAATGGAATGGAATGGAATGCATTGGAGTGGTATGGAAAGTAGTGCAGTGGATTGGAGTGGGGTGGAGTTGAACGGAATGCAATGGAATGCGATGGAGTGGAGGGTAATGGAATGGAATGGAATGGCATGGAGTGGAGTGGGGTGGAGAGGAGTGGAGTGGAGTTGAGTGGAGTGGAGTGTAATGTAGTGGAGTAGAATGGAGTGAAGTGGAATGGAATGGAGTGGAATGGTATGCACTGGAGTGGAATGGAGTGGAAAGGGGTGGATTGGAATGGAGTGGAGTGAAATAGAGTGGAGAGGAAAGGAATGGAATGGAGTTGAGTGGAATGGAATGGAATGGAATGGATTGGAGTGGACTGCAGTGGAGTGGAGTGGAATAGAATGCAGTGGAATGGACTGGAATGGAGTGGAGCAGAATGCAATAGAGTGGAGTGGAGTGCAAAGGTAAGGAGTGGAAAGGAATGGAATGAAATGCAATGGAGTGCAATGGAGTGAAGTGGAATGGATTGGAGGGGAATAGAGTTGAGTAGAATTGAATGTTGTGTATTAGAGTGGAATGGAGTGGAATAGAATGGAGTGAAGTGGATTGGATTGGTGTGGAATGGTATGGAATGGAATGGATTGGAACGGAAAAGAATGGAGAAGAATGGAACGGAATGGAGTAGAATGGAATGGAATGCAGTGGAATGGATTGGAAAGACTGGAGTGTAGTGAATTGGGGTGGAACGGAATGGAATGGAGTGGAGTGGAGTGGAATAGAATGAAGTGGAATGGAGTTGAATGGAATGGAATGAAGTAGAATTGAATGGAGTGTAGTGGAATAATAAGGAATGGAGTGGAAACGGATGGAATGGAATGGAGTGGAGTGCAATGGAGTGCAGTGGAATGGAGTGGAGTGGAATGGAGTGGATCAGAATGGAGTGGAGTGCAATGGAGTGGAGTGCAATGGAGTGGAATGGAATGGAGTGGGGTGGAATGGAGTTGAGCAGAATGGAATGGAGTGGAGTAGAAAGGAGTTGAGGGGAATGGAATGGAGAGGAGTGGAATGGAATGGAGTGGAATGGAATTGAGTGGAGTGGAGTTGATTGGTGTGGAATGGCATGGAATGGAATGGAATGGAGTGAATTGGAGTGTACTGGAGTGGAATGGAATGGAATGGAGTGAAATGGAATGGAATGGAGTAGAATGGAAAGGAATTCAATAGATTGGAATGGAAAGGAGTGGAGTTGAATGGAATGGAGTGGAGTGTAATGGACTTGAATGGAGGGGAATGGATTGGAAAATAATGGAGTACTGTGGAATGGAATGGAACAGAATGGATTGGAGTGGAGTGTAGTGGAATTGAATGGACTGGAATGGAGTTCAATGGAATGGAATCAAATGGAGCAGAATGGAACAGAGTGGAATGGAATGGAGTGGAGTGGAAGGGAATGGACTGGAGTAGATAGGAATGGTGTGGAGTGGAATGGAGTGGAGTGGAGTGGAGAGGAATGCAGTGGAGAGGAGTGGAATGGAGTGCAGTGGAATGGAATGAATTGGAGTGGAATGGAATGGAGTGGACTGGAATAAAAAGGAGTGGAACCGAATCGAGTAGAGTGGAATGGAATGGAATGGAAAGCAATGCATTGGAGTGGAATGAAATGGAATGGAGTGCAATGCCATGCAGCATAGTGGAGTGGAATGGAATGGAATGGAATTTAAAGAAAAGTTATTGAATGGATTGGATTGGATTAGAGTGGAGTGGAGTGGAAAGGAAAGGAATGGAATGGCCTGGAATGGATTAGAATGGAGTGAAATGGAATGGAGTGGAATGGATTGGAAGGGAATTTAGTGGAGTGAAATGGAAAGGAGTGGAGTGGAATGGAATGGACTGTAGTGGAGTAGAGTGTAGTGGAATGTAATGGAGTGGATTTTAGTAGATTGGAGTCATGTGTAGTGGAGTGGAATGGAGTGGAATGGCCTGCCATGGAGCGGCATAGAATGGAGTGGATTGAAGTAGAGTGAAGTGGAAGGGAATGGAGTGGATTTTAGTAGATTGGAGTAGTGTGGAGTGGAGTGGAATGGAGTGGAGAGGCCTGCAGTGGAGTGGAGCAGAAAGGAATGGAGTAGAATGGAGTGGAAAGGAGCGTAGTGGAATAGAATGTAGTGGAATGGTATATAATGGAATCGAGTGGAGTGCAATGGAATGGAGTGGAATCGAGAAGAGTGGGGTGGAATGGATTTGAAAAGAATGGTGTGGAATGGAATGGAATTGAGTGGGATGGAATGGAATGGAGTGGATTGGAGTTGAGCGGAAAGGAGTTCAGTAGAGTGGAAAAAAGTGGAGTGGAGTAGAATGGAACGGAATGGAATGCAATGGCATGGAGTTAAGTGGAGAAGAGTGTACTGGAGTGGAGGGAAATGGGGTTGAATGGAGTGGATGAAGTGGAATGGAACTGAATGGAATGGACAGGAGTGAAATGCAGTGGTGTGGAATGGAATGGAGTGGAGCGGAATTGAATGGAGTGGAACGGAGTGGAGTAGAATGGAGTGGAGTGGAGATGAATGGAATGAAGTGGAGTGGAAAGGAATGGAATTGAGTGGAGGGGAATGGAATGGAATGGAGTGAAATGGAGAGGAGTGGAATGGAATTTAGAGGAGTACAGTGGAAAGGATTTGAGTGGAATGGAATGCAGTAGAATGGAATGGAATGGAGTGAAATGGAGTGAAGTGGAGTGGATTGGAATGGAATGAAGTAGAATGGCATGGAATGGCATGGAGTGGAATGGAGTGGAATAAAATGGAATGGAGTGGAGTGAAATGGATTGGAGTGAAGTAGAATGCAATGGATTGGAATGGAATGGAAAGGAGTGGAGTGGTGTGGAGTTGAGTGGAATAGAGTGAAGTGTAATGGAATGGAATGGAATGGAATTGAGAGGAATGGAATTTAATGGAGTGGAATGGAATGGAGTGGATTGGAATAGAAAGGAGAGGAGTGTAGAATGGAGTGGACTGGAGGGGAGAGGATTGAAGTGGAGTATAATGGAATGGAGTGGAGTTGAGAATAGTGGAGTGGAGTGGAATGGAGTGCAATGACATGGAATGGAGTGGAGTGGAAAGGAATAGAGTGGAGTGGTATGGAAAGCAATGGAATGTAATGGAGTTAAGTAGAGTGGAGTGGTGTGGTTTGGAGTGGAAGTGAATGGAGTGGAATAGAATGGAATGGAATGGAAAGGAATTGAGTGGTATGGAAAGGAGTGGAGTGGAGTGGAATGGAATGGAGTGGAGTGGAGTGAAAAGCAGTGGAGTGGAATGGAGTGGATTGGAATGGAGTGGAATGGAATGGATTGGATTGGAGTGCAGTGGAGTGGAATGGAATGGAATGGAGTGGAGTTTAGTGAAATGGAGTGGAGTGGAGTGGAGCTGAATGGAATGAATTGGAATAGAATGAAATGGAGTGAAATAGAGTGGAATGTGTGGAGTGGAATGAAATGGAGTGGAGTGGAATAAAACAGAATGGAGTGGATTGGGATGGAATGGAATGGAGTTGAGTTCAATGAAGTGGAGTGGCATGGAGTGGAGTTGAGTGGAATGGAATGGAATGGAGTGCAATGGAATGCAGTGGTGTTGAGTGAAGTGGAATCGAACCGAGAGGAATGGCATGGAATGGAGTGGAAAGGAGTGGATTGGATAGGAATGCAATGTAGTGGAGTGGAGTACAATGGAAAGGAATGGAATGGAGTGGAAAGAAATGGAATGGAAATAAATGGAATGGAATGGAAAGGAATGGAATGGAATGGAATGGAAAGGAAAGGAGTGTTGTGGAGTGTAGAGGAGTGGAGTGGAATGGAATGGAGTGGATTGGAACGGAGTGGAGTGGAATGGAAAGCATTATAATGGAGTGGTATACAGTGGAGTTGAGTGGAATGAAATGGAGTGCAGTGGAGTGGAATGGAATGGAATGGAGTGGAGTGGAATGGAATAG
>NT_187391.1:156263-158783 GCF_000001405.40 Homo sapiens
AATGGAAAGCATTGGAGAGTGATGGAGAGCAGTGGAATAGACTGGAGTGGACTGGAATGAAGACGATTGGAATAGAATGGAGTACAGTGGAGTGAAATGGAAAGGAGGGGAATAGAGACGAGTGGAATGGAATGGAGATGAGTGGAATGGAAAGGATTGCAGTGGAATGGAATGGAGTGGAAAGGAATGGAATGGAAGGAAGTGGAGTGAAATGCAGTGTATTGGAATGGATTAGAGTGGAGAGGAAAGGAATGGAATGGAATGGAATGGAGTGGAGTGGAATGGAATGGAGGGGAAAGAAACGGAATGGAGTGGAGTGGAATGGAAAAGAGTGGAGTGGAATGAAGTGGAGTGGAGAGTAATGGAGTGGAATGGAATGAAGTGGAGTGGAATGGAATTGAGTGGATTGGAAAGGAATGGAGTGGAATGGATTAGAGTGGAGTGGAGTGGAATGAAATGGAATGGAATGGAATGGAGTGGATTAGAGTGGAGTGGAGTGGAGTGGAATGAAATGGAATGAAGTGGAGTAGAGTGGAATGGAATGGACTGGAGTGCAATTGAGTGAAGTGGACAAGAATTGAGGGGAAAGCAATGGAATGGAATGTAGTGGAATAGAGTGAATTGGAAAGGAGTGGAGTGGATTGGAGTGGAATGGAATGGACTGGAGTGGAATTGAGTGAAGTGGACAAGAATTGAGGGGAAAGCAATGGAATGGAATGTAGTGGAATAGAGTGGATTGGAAAGGAGTGGAGTGGATTGGAGTGGAATGGAAAAAAATGGAGTGGACTTGAATGAAATGCAGTGGAGTAGATGGGAGTGGAGTGGAATGGAATGGAGTGGAGTGGAGTGGAGTGGGGAATAGTGGAATGGAATGGACTGAAGTGGAATGGACTGCAGTGCAGTGGAATGGAGTGGAGTGCAGTGGAATGGAATGGAACGGGGTGGAATGGAATATAAAGGAGTGGAGTGAAATGGAATGGAGTGGAGTGGAATGGAGTGGAGTGTATTGGAATGGAATGGAATAGAATGGAGTGGACTGGAATGGAATCGAGTGGAATGGAATGGAATGGATTGGAATGGAGTTGAGTGGAGAGGAGTGGAGTGGACTGGAATGGAATGGAGTGGAATGGAAAGGAGTGGAGTGGGATAGAGTAGAGTGGAATGCAGTGGAATGGAATAGAATGGAGTGGAATGGAGTGGAATGGATTGGAGTGCACTGGATTGAAGTGGAATTGAATGGAATGGAATGGAATGGAATGGAATGGAATGGAATGGAGTGGAGTGGAATGCAATGTATTGGAATGGAGTAGAATAGAGTAGATTGGAATGGAATCGAGTGCAAATAATGGAGTGGAGTGGAATGGAGTGGAGTGGAGTGGAATGGAGTGGAGTGGAGTGGAATGGAGTGGAGTGGAGTAGAAAGGAATGCAAAGGAATGGGATGAAATGGATTTGATTGGAGTGGAGTGTAATGGAATGGAGTGGAATGGAGTGGAGTGTAATGGAATGAAGTGGAGTGGAGTGGAATGTAATGGAGTGGGAAGCAATGGAATGGAATGGATTGGAGAGCAATGGAGTGGAGTGGAATAGAGTGGAGTGGAATAGAGTTCAGTGTAATGGAATGGAGTGTAGTGGAATGGAATGGAGTGGAATGGAATGGAGTGGAGTGGAATAGAACTAAGTGGAGCAGAATGGAATGGAATGGAGTGGAATGGATTAGAAATGAATGGAGTATAGTGGAGTGGGGTGGAACTGAATGGAATATAGTGGAGGGGTTTGGAATGGAATGGAGTGGAATGGAGTTTAATGGAAAGAATGCATAGGAGTGGAATGGAATGGGGTGGAGTTGAAGGGAATCGAGTGGATTGGAATGGAGTGAAGTGGAATGTAACCGAGTGGATTGGATTGTAATGGAATGGAATGGATTGGAGTGGAATGAAGTGTAGTGGAATAGAGTGGAATGGAGTGAAATGGAGTGGAAAGGGGTGGACGGGAGTGGAAAGGAGTCTAGTGGAGTAGAATGGAGTGGAGTGGAATGGAATGTATTGGAATGGACTCGAATGGAGTTGAGTGGAGTGGAGTGGAATGGAATGCAGTGGAGTAGAGTGGAATGGAAAGGAATGGAAAGGGGAGGAATGGAGTGGAGTGGACTGGAGTGGAGTGGAGTGGAATGGAATGAGGAGAATACAGTGAAATATAGTTGAGTTAAATGGAATGGAGTGGAGTGGAATGGAAATGAATGGAATGGAAAGGAATGGAATGGAATGTGGTGGAGTGGAATGGAGAGGACTGGAATAGTGTTGGGTGGAATGGAATGGAGAGGAGTGGAATGGAATGGAGCAGAATGACATGGAGAAGAGTGGAGTGGATTGGTGTGGAATGGCTAGGAATGGAATGGAAAGAAGTGGAGTGGAGTGGAGTGGAGTGGAATGGTATGAAATGAAGTGAAATGGAACGGAATGGGGTGCAATGGATGGGATACAATGGATTGGAACGTATAGAATGGAGTGGAATGGAATGG
>NT_187391.1:161984-163892 GCF_000001405.40 Homo sapiens
TGGGTTAGAAAGGAATGGAGTGGAGTGGAAAGAAATGACGTGGGATGGAATGGAGTGCATTGGAATGGAATGGAATGGAGTGGAGTGGAATGGAACGGAATGGAGTGACATGGAATGGAGTGTATTGGAGTGGAGTGGATTGGAATGGAATGGAGTGGAGTGAAATGGAATGGAGCGGAGAGAAATGGAATGGAGTGGAACGGAAATGAATGGATTGGAAAGGAATGATATGGAGTGGAGTACAATGGAGTGGACTGAAGTGGAGTGGAGTGCAGCGGAGTGTAATGGAACGGAGTGCAGTGGAATAGACTGGAGTGGAGTGGCATGGAGTAGAGTGGAATGGAGTGGAGTGCAGTGGAATGGAATGGAGTGGAGTGGTATCGAGTGAAGAGGAGTGGAATGGAATGGAGTGGAAAGGAGTAGAATGGTGTGGTGTGGAGTAGAATGTTTTGGAGTGGAATGGAGCGGAGGGGATTGGAATGGAATGGAGGGGAAGAGAATGTAGTAGAATGGAGTGGAATGGAGTGGAATGGAGTGCAGTGGAGTGGAATAAATGGACTGCAGTGGAATGGAATGGAATGCAGTGGAATGGAATGGAATGGAGTGGAATGGAATGGAATGGAGTGGAATGGAATGGAATGGAGTGGAATGGAATGGAATGGAGTGGAATGGAATGGAATGAAATGGAATGGAATGGAATGACATGGAGACGAGTGGATTGGAATGGAGTGGTGTGGAGTGGAATGCAATGGAATTTAGTGGAATGGAGTAGAGCGAAATGGAATGGAATGGAGTGAAGTGGAATGGAAAGGAATAGAATGAAATGGAGTTGAATGGAAAGGAGTGGAATGGAGTGGAGTGGAGTGGAATGGCATGGAATGGACTTGAATGGAGTGGAGTGGAATGGAATGGAAAGGAAAGGAATGGAAATTAAAGGAATGGAGTGGAATGGAATGGAGGACTGTGGAATGGAATGAAGTGGAGTGGAATAGAATGGAATGGAATGGAATGGAATGGAATGGAATGCAATGGAATGGAATGGAATGGAATGAAACGAAGTGGAATTTAATGGAGTTTAGTGGAATGGAGAGAGTGTAATTGATTGGAGTCGAGTAGATTGGAATGGAGTAGAGTGGATTGGAATGGAATGGGGTCGAATGGAATGGAGGGGAATGGAATGGAGGGGAATGGGCTGGAATGGAGTGGAACGGAATGCAGTGGAGTGGAATAAAATGGACTGGATAGGAACAGAGTGGAATGAAGTGGAATGGAATGGAGAGGAGTGGAGAGGAATGGAATGGAGAGGAGTAGAATGGAGCAGAAAGGAATGGAATGGAGAGGAATGGGGTGCAATGGAGTGGAGTGCATTGCAATGGAATGCACTGGAGTGGAATGGAATTCAGTGGAGTCTAATGGAATGGAGTGGAACGGAATGGAATGCAGTTTTGGGGAATGGAATGGAATGGAGTGGAGTAGAGTGGTGTGGAGTGGAGTGGAGTGGAATGGAGTGGATTGGAGTGGAGTGGAGTGGAATAGAATGGAATGGAATGGAGTGAACTGAAATGGAATGTTGTGGAGTGTAGTGGAGTGCAGTGTCATGGAGTGGAGTGGCGTGGAGAAGAGTCGAATGGAATGGAGTGTTGACGGGATGGAGTGCAGTGGAGTGGAATGCAGTGGAGTGTAATGAAGTGGAGTGGAGTGGAATGGACTGGACTGGAATGAATGGAGTCGAATGGAGTGGAATTTAGTTGAGATTATTGGAATCGAATGGAGTGGAGTGGAATGAAATGGGGTGGATTGGAGTGGGATGGAATGGGGTGGAGTGGAGTGGAGGGGAATGCAACGGAGTTGAGTGGAATGGCATTGAATGGAAATGAATTTAACGGAAGGGAATGAAATGAAATAGAA
>NT_187391.1:166067-167918 GCF_000001405.40 Homo sapiens
TGGAGTGGAGTGGAGTAGAGTGGAGTGGAGTGGAATGGAACGGGGTGGAGTGGAGTGGAAAGGAGTAAAATGGAATGGAATTTAGTGGAATGAAATGAAATGGAGTGGAGTGGAGTGGAATGCAATGGAATGGAGTTTAGTGGAATGCAATGGAATGGAAGGGAGGGGAATGTAATGAAATTAAATGGAGTGGAGTGGAGTGGAATGGAACAGAATGGAGTGGAATGAATTGGAGTGCCGTGGAATTGAATGGAATGGAATGGAGTGGAATCAAATGGGAATTAATGGAATGGAATGGAATGGAGTGGAGTGGAGTGGAACGGAGTGGAATGGAATGTAGTAGAGAGGAATGGAATGGCATGGAGTGAAAAGGAGAGGAGTGGAGAGGAGTGGAGTGGAATGGAATGGAGTGGAATGGAATGGAGTGGCGCAGAATGAAATGGAATGTAAAGGAATGGAATGTATAGGAATGAAGTTTAATGGAGGGCAATGGAGTGGAGTATAATGGAATGGATTGGAGTGGAATGGAATGGAGTTGAACGGAATGGAACGGAGTGCAATGGAATGGAGTTTAGTGGAATGGAATGGAGTGGAGTGGAATGGAGTGGAGAGGAGTGGAATGGATAGAGTTGAATGGAAAGGAATGGATGGGCAAGGAATGGAATATAATCGATTGCAGTGGAGTCAAGTAGAGTGGAGTGAAGTGGATTGGAATGGAATGGAGTGGAATGGGGTGGAATGTTGTGGAGTGGAATGCAATGGGGCAGAATGGAATGCAATGGAGGGGGATGTAGTGGAATGGAAAGGAGTGGAATGGAGTGGAACAGAGTTGAATGTTGTGGAAGGAAATGACCTGAAGTCTAAAGGAGTGGAAAGAAATGGAGTGAGGGGAATGGAATGGAATGGAGTGGAATGGAATAGAATGGAGTGGAGTGGAATAGAGTGGAGTGGAATGGAATGGAGTGGAGTGGAGTGGAATGGAGTTGAGTTGTGTGGAATGGAGTGGAATGGAATGGAATTGGGTACAGTGGAATGGAGTAGTGTGGAGTGGAATAGAGTGGAATGGAAAGGCGTGGACTGGAAAGGAATGGAGTGGGGGGAATGGATTGGTGTGGAAAGGAATGGAATGGAATGGAATGAAGTGGAACGGAAAGGCATGGAATGGAATGGAAAGGAGTGGATTGGAGTGGAGTGGAGTGGAATGGAATGGAGTGTAATGGAGTGTAATGAAATGGACTGGAATTGAATGGAGTGGAGTGGTATGGAATGGAGTGCAATGGAATGGAATTGAATGGAATGGAGTGGAGGGGAGTGGAATGGAGTTGAGTAGAATGGAATGGAGTGGAGTGAAATGGAGTGGAGTGGAGTGGAATGGAGTGGAGTGGAGTGGAATGGAGTGGAAGGAAATGCAGTATAGTGAAACAGAATAGAGTGGAATGGAGTGGAAGGAAATGCAGTATAGTGAAACAGAATAGAGTGGAATGGAGTGGAGTGCTGTGGAGTGGAGTAGAATTGAGTGTAGTGTAATAGAGTGGAGTGAAATGGAATGAAATGGAATGGAATGGAATGAGATGGAATGGAGTGGAGTTCACAGGAGTGGAATGGAATTGGATGGAAAGGAATTGAATGGTTGGAATGGAATGGAATGCAATGGAATGGAATGCAATGGAATGGAATGCAATGGTGAAATGAAATGTGAACTGAGATAGTGCCACCATACTCCAGCCTGGGTGACAGAATGAGATCCTGTCGAAAGAAAGGAATGGAATGGAATGGAATGGAGTGAAATGGAAAGGAATGGAATAGAATGGAGTGGAGTGGAGTGGAATGGAGTGGAATGGAGTGGAATGG
>NT_187391.1:170747-175725 GCF_000001405.40 Homo sapiens
TGGAATGGAATGGAATGGAATGAAATGGAGTGGAGTGGAGTGGAATGGAATGGAGTGGAGTGGAGTGGAATGGAATGGAATGGTATGGAATGGATTGGAATGGAATGGAGAAATTAAATGTGAGCTAAGATTGTGCCACCACCGCATTCCAGTCTGTGTGACAGAGTGAGATCCATTCGAAATAAAGGAATGGAATGGAATGGAGTAGAATGGAATGACTGGAGTGGCGTGAAGCAGAGTGGAGTGGAGAGGAGTGGAGAGGAGTGGAGTGGAGTGGAGTGGAGTGGAATGCAATGGAATGGAATGGTGAAATGAAATGTGAGCTGAGATTTTGCCATTGTACTCCATCCTGGGTGACAGAGTGAGATCCTGTCGAAAGAAAATATTGGAATGGAATGGAGTGGAATGGAATGGAATAGAATGGAGTGGAGTGGAGTGGAGTGGAGTGGAGTGGAATGGCATGGAATGGAATGGAATGGAAAGAAATGGAAAGGGGAAATGAAATATGATCTGAGATTGTTTCACTGCACTACAGCCTGGGTGACAGAGTGAGATCCTGTCGAAAGAAAATATTGGAATGGAATGGAGTGCAATGGAATGGAATAGAGTGGAGTGGAGTGGAAAGGAGTGGAATGGAATGGGATGGAATGAAATGGAGTGGAGTGGAGTAGGGTAGAGTGGAATGGAGTGGAGTGGAGTGGAGTGGAGTGGAGTGGAGTGGAAAGGAATGGAGAGGAGTGGAGTGGAATGGAATGGAATGGAATGGAATGGAATGGAATGGAATGGTCAAAAGAAATATGTGTTGAGATTGTGCCACTGCGCTACAGCCTGTGTGACAGAGGGAGATCGGTCGAAAGAAAGGAGTGGAACGGAAGGGATTGGAATGGAATGGAATGGATTGGAGCGGAGTGGATTGGAATGGAATGGAGTGGATTGGAGTGCAGTGGAATGGAATGGCATGGAATGAAATGGAATGGTAAAATGAAATGTGAGCTGAGATTGTGCACTGCACTCCAGCATGGGTGACAGAGTGAGTTCCTGTCGAAAGAAAGGAATGGAAAGGAATGGATTTAGAATGGAATGCAATGTAATTTAATGGAATGAAGTGGAATGGAGTGGAGTGGAAAGGAGTGGAATGGAATGGGATGGCATGGAAAGGAGTGGAGTGGACTGGAATGGAGTCGATTGCAGTGGAGTGGAATGTATTGGATTGGAGTGGAGTGAAGTGGAGTGGAATGGAATGCAATGGATTGGAATGGAAAAGAATGGAATGGAATGGTGAAATGAAATGTGAGCTGAGATTGTGCCACTGTGTTCCAGGTGGGTGAAAGAGTGAGATACTCTCAAAAGAATGGAATGGAATGGAATGCAGTGGAATGGAATGCAGCAGAATGGAATGGAATGGAGTGGACTGGAGTGCAGTGGAGTGGAGAGGGGTGAAGTGGAGTGCAGTGGAATGGAGCGGAATGGAATGGGATGGAGTGAAATGGAGTGGAGTGGAGTGCAGTGGAGTGGAAAGGAGAGGAATGGAGTGGAATGGAATCGGATGTAATGGAATGTAGTGGAGTGGAGTGGAGTGGATTGGAATGGAATGCAATGGAATGCAATGCAATAGAATGCAATGCAAAGGAAAGTTGACATGTAATGTGCGCTGAGATTGTGCCACTGCACTCCAGCCTGTGTGACACAGTGATATACTTTCGAAAGAAAGGGATGAAATGCAATGGAGTGAAAGGTAATGGAATGGAATGGAATGGAGTGGAGGAAAATGGAGTGGAGTGGAGTGGAATGGAGTCAAATGGAATGGGAAGGAGTGGAATGGAATGGAGTAAAGTGGAGTGGAGTGGAGTGAAATAAAGTGGAAGGGAATGGAAAGCAATGGAATGGTGAAAAGAAATGTGAGCTGAGATTGTGCCACTGCATTCCAGGCTTTGTGACTGAGGGAAATCCTATGGAAAGAAAGTAATGGAATGGAATGGAGTATAATGGAATAGAATGGAGTGGAGTGGAGTGGAGTGGTGTTGAGTGCAGTGGAGTCGAGTGGAATGGAGTGGAATGGAAAGGGATGGAATGGAATGCAATGGAGTGCAGTGGAGTGGAGTGGATTGGAGTGGAGTAGAGTGGAACCGAGTGGAATGGAATGGGATGGAATGGAATATCATGGAGTGCAGTGGAGTGGAGTGGATTGGAGTGGAGTAGAGTGGAATGCAGTGGAGTGGAATGGAATGGAATGGAAATAAATAGAATGGAAAGGAACGGAATGGAATGGAATGCAAAGGGATGGAATACAATGGAATAGAATGGAATGGAATGGTGAAATGAAATGTGAGCCTAGTTTGTGCCACTGCATGCCAGCCTGGGTGACAGAGTGAGATGCTGTCAAAAGAAAGGAATGGAATGGAATTCAGTGGAGTATAGCAGAGTGGAGTGGAGTGCTGTGGAGTGGAAAGGAGTGGAATGGAATATCATGGAGTGGAACGGAATGGAGTGCAGTGGAGTTGAGGGGACTGGAGTGGAATGGAGTGGAATGGAATGGGATGGAATGGAATGGAGTGTAGTGGAGTGGAATGGAGTGGACTGGAGTGGAATGGAGGGAAATGGAATGGAATGAAATGGAGTGGATTTGAGTGCACTGGAGTGGAGTGGAGTGGAATGGAACGGAATGGAATGGAAAGGAATAGTGAAACGAAATGTAAGCTGAGATTTTACCACTGCACTCCAGACTGAGTGACAGAGTGATATCCTGTCAAATGTAAGGAATGGAAGGGATAGTATTGGAATGGAATGGAATGGAATGGAGTGGAAGGAAATGAACTGGAAAGAAATGGAATGGAATGGACTGTAGCGGAGTAGAGAGGAGTGGAGTGGAATGGAAGGGGATGAATCGAATGGAATGAAGTGGAGGAAGGGGAGTGGAATGGTGGGGAGAAGAGTTCAGTGGTATGGAATTGGATGGAATTAAATGGAGTGGAGTGGAGTGGCGTGGAGAGGATTGGAGTAGAGTGGAGTGGAATGGAATGGAATGGAGTCGAGTGTAGTGGAGTGGAGTGGAATGGAATGTAGTGCAATGGAATTGAGTGGAATGGAAAGGAATGGAATGGAATAGAATGGAATGATGAAATGAAATATGAGCTGAAATTGTGCCACTGCACTCCACCGTGGGTGACAGAGTGAAATCCTGTCAAACGAAAATGGAATGGGAAGGAGAGGAATGGAATGGAAGGGAATGGAGTGGAGTGGAGTGGAGTACAGTGGAGTGGAGTGGAGAATAGTGGAATGGAATGGGATGGAATGGAATAGAGTGGAGTGGAGTGGATTGGACTGAACTGGAGTGAAGTGGACTGGAATGGAATGGAATGGAATGGATTGGAATGGAATGGAATGCAGTGGAGTGGGGTGAAATGGAGTGAAGTAGAGTGGAGTGGAGTGGAATGGAATGGAGTGGAAAGGAATGGAATGGAATGTAGTGTAGCGGAGTGGAGAGGAGTGAAGTGGAATGGAATGGCGTGGAATGGAATCGATTGGAAATAAATGGAGGGGAGTGGAGTGGTGGGGAGGGGAGTGGAGTGGTGGGGAGTGGAGTGGAGTGGTATGGAATTGGATGGAATTGAATGGATTGGAGTGGAGTGACTTGGAGAGGAGTGGCGTAGAGTGGAGTGGAATGGCATGCAATGGAATCTAATGGATTGAAGTGGAGTGGAGTGGAGAGGAATGGAAGGTAGTGGAATGGAATTGAATGGAATGGAATGGAATAGAATGGAGTGGAGAAATGAAATATCAGCTGAGATTGTGCCACTGCACTCCAGCCTGGGTGACAGAGTGAAATCCTGTTGAAAGAAAGGAATTGAATGGAAAGGAGTGGAATGGAATGGAATAGAATGGAATGGAATGGAATGGATGGAGTGGAGTGGAGTGGAGTACAGTGGAGTACATTGGAATGGAATGAGATAGAATGGAATGGTGTGGAGTGGATTGGAGTGGAGTGGAATGGAATGGAATGGAATGCAGTGGAGTGGAGTTCACTGGAGTGGAATGAAATAGGATGGAATGGTATTTAATGGAAAGGAATGGAATGCAATGGAATGGAATGCAATGGAATGCAATGGAATGGAATGGAGTGGTATTTAATGGAAAGGAATGGAATGCAATGGAATGGAATGCAATGGAATGCAATGGAATGAAATGGAATGGTGAAATTAAATGTGAGCTGAGATAGTGCCAATACATCCCATCGTGGGTGACAGAGTGAGATCCTGTCAAAAGAATGGAATGGAATGGAAAGGAGTGGAATGGAATGGAATGGAATGGAATGGAATGGAATGGAATGGAATGGAATGGAATGAGGTGGAGTGGAGTGGAGTGGAATGGAGTGCAATGGAGTGGAATGCAGTAGAATGGAATGGGACGGAGTGGAATGGAACGGAGTGGAGTGGAGAGGAGTGGAGTGAAACGGAATGGGATGGAAAGGAATGGAGTGGAGTGGAGTGGAATAGAGTGGAGTGGAATGGAATGGACTGGAGTGGAGTGGAGTAGAATGGAGTGGAGTGGAATGGAATGGAATGGAATGCAATGCAATGGTGAAATGAAATCTGAGCTGAGATTGTGCCACTGTATTCCAGCCTTTTTTGACACAGTGAGATCCCGTCGAAAGAAACGAATGGCATAAAATGGAGTGGAATAGAATGGAATGGAATGGAATGGAGTGGAGTGGATTGCAGTGGAGTCGAGTGGAACGGAGTGGAATGGAGTGGGATGGAATGGAACGGCATGGACTGGAGTGGAGTGATTTGGAGTGGAGTAGAGAGGAATGGAGTGGAATGCAATGGGATGGAAGGGAATGGCAAGGAGTGCAGTTGAGTGGACTGGAGTGGATTGGAGTGGAGTAGAGTGGAATGGAATTGAATGGAATGCAATGGAATGGAATGGAATGGAATGCAATGGAACGGAATGGAATGCAATGGAACGGAATGGAATGCAA
>NT_187391.1:179260-181920 GCF_000001405.40 Homo sapiens
TGAATTGAGTAGAATGGAAAGGGATGGAATGGAATGGAGTGGTGAGGAGTGGAGTGGAGGGGAGTTCAGCAGAGTGGAGTGGGAAGGAGTGGAATGGAATGGAGTTTAGTAGAGTGGATTGGAGTATAGTAGAATGGAGTGGAATGGAGTGGGATGGAATGGAATTGAGTGGAGTGGAGTGGAATGGAATGGAATGCCGTGGAGTTTAGTGGAATGGAGTTCACAGAAGTGGAATGGAATGGGATGGAATGGAATTGAATGGAATGCAATGGAATGGAATGCAATGGAATGCAAAGGAATGGAATGCAATGGAATGAAATGGAAAGGAATGTAATGGAATGAAATGGAATGGAATGCAATGGAATGCAAAGGAATGGATGGTGAAATTAAATGTGAACTGAGATCGTGCCACTGAACTCCAGCCAGGGTGACACAGTGAGATCCTGTGGAAAGAAAGGAATGGAATTGAATGGAGTGAAATGGAATGAAATGGAATCGAATGGATTGTAGTGAAATGGAGTGGACAGGAGTGGAGTGGAGAGGAATGGAGTGAAATGGAATGGGATGGAATGGAAAGTAGTAGAGTGCAGTGGAGTGGAGTTTATTGGAGTGGAGTGGAATGGAGTGGAATGGTATGGAATGGAATTGAAAGGAATGGAATGGAATGGAAAGGAATGGAATGGAATGAAATGGAATAGAGGGGAGTGGACTGGAGTGTAGTGGAATGGAGTGGAGTGTAGTGGAATGGAGTGGAGTGGAATGGAATGAAATGAAATGGAATGAAATGCAATGGAGTGGTGAAAGTAATGTGAGCTGAGATGGTGCCACTGTATTACAGCCTTTTTTGACACAGTGAGATCCTTTCAAAGGAAAGGAAGGGAATGGAATGTGTTGGCATGGAATGGAGTGCAATGGAATGGGATAGAGTAGAATAGAATGGAATGGAATGGAATGGTGAAATAAAATGTGAGCTAAGATTGTGCCACTGCTCTCCAGTCTGGGTGACAGAGTGAGATCCAATCGAAATAAAGGAATGGAATGGAATGTGGTAGAATGGAATGGAGTGGAGTGGACTGGAGACGAGTGGAGTGGAATGTAGTGGAGTGGAGTGGAGCGGAATGGAATGCAGTGGAGTGGAATGAAGTGCAGTGGAGAAGAGTGCAGTGGAATGAAGTGGAATGGAGTGGAATGGATTGTAACGGAATGGAGTGGAGTGGAATGGAGTAGAGTGGAGTGGAGTGTAATGGGGTGGCGTGGAGTGGAGTGGAATGTAATGGAGTTTAATGGAATGGAATGGAGTGGAGTGGAGTGGAATGGAGTGGAGTGGAATGGAATGGAATGGAATGGAGAAATGAAATGTGAGCTAAGATTTTGCCACTGCACTCCAGTCTGTGTGACAGTGTGAGATCCATTTGAAATAAAGGAATGGAATGGAATGGAGTAGAATGGAATAAAATGGAGTGGAGGGGAGTGGAGTGGAGTGGAATATAATGGAATGGAGGGAAATGGAATGGAAGGGAATGAATGGAATGCAATGGAATGGAGTGGAATGGAGTGGAGTGGAGTGGGGTGGAAACGAATGGGATTGAGTGGAGAGGAGTTGAGTAGAATGGAATGAAATGGAGTGGAGTGGAGTGGAATGGAGTGGAGTGGAATGGAATGGAATAGAATGAAATTAAATGCAATGGTGAAATGAAATGTGATGTGATATTGTGCCACCGAACTCCAGCCTGGGTGACAGTATGAGATCCTCTCAAAAGAAAGGAATGGAATGGAATGGAATGGAAGGCAGTGGAGTGGAGTGGAGTGGAATAAAGTAGAATAGAAAGTGATGGAGTGGAATGGAATGGAGTGGAGTGGAGTTTAGTTGAGTGGAGTGGAGTGGAATTGAGTGGAATGGAAAGGGATGGAATGGAATGGAATGGTGAGGAGTGGAGTGGAGGGGAGTTGAGTGGACTGGAGTGTGGAGGAATGGAATGGAATAGAGTGGAGTGGAATGGAGTGGAGTATAGTGGAATGGAGTGGAAAGGAATGGGATGGAATGGAATTGAGTGGAGTGGAGTGGAGTGGAGTTCACAGAAGTGGAATGGAACGGAATGGGATGGAATGGAATTGAATGGAATGCAATGGAATGGAATGCAATGGAATGCAAAGGAATGGAATGCAATGGAATGAAATGGAATGGAATGCAATGGAATGAAATGGAATGGAATGCAATGGAATGAAATGGAATGGAATGCAATGGAATGAAATGGAATGGAATGCAATGGAATGAAATGGAAAGGAACGCAATGGAATACAAAGGAATGGATGGTGAAATTAAATGTGACCTGAGATAGTGGCACTGCACTCCACTCCAGCCAGTGTGACACAGTGAGATCCTGTCGAAAGAAAGGAATGGAATGGAATGAAGTGAAATTCAATGGAATGGAATCCAATGGAGTGTAGTGAAGTGGTGTGGAATGGAGTGGAATGGAGGGGAATTGAATGGGATGGATTGGAATGGAATGGAGTGGACTGGAGTGGTGCGGAGAGGAATGGAATGAAATAGAATGGGAAGGAATGGAAAGGAGTGGAGTGGAGTTTATTGGAGTGAAGTGGAATGGAGTGGAATGGTATGGAAAGCAATGGAATGAAATTGAATGGAATGGAATGGAATC
>NT_187392.1:0-81189 GCF_000001405.40 Homo sapiens
CATCAATTTATTCTAGCTAAAGGAGTTTATCAGAAGCAGCATTTGAAAGCACCAACTAAACCAGCTGGGGTTAGTTCACTGTCATTCTCTCAGAACCATCTCTTCTCTGAACAAAACAAGTACAAGAGTTCATTGTGAATCTGCATTCTCCTTGACTGTTTTAAGGTTTTGATGTTGACACTAATTTGTGAAATCCCTCCTGTGGTGTGATATTTCGTTTTCCTTGCTTTCTGATAGGACAAGAATAATTCAGCTCTTAATTTAAAATTATGTTTCTCCCTCCTAGGTTGAGTGAACTTAGAATGCATTCTCTGACATATCCAAGTTTTGTTAATATGAATTTGGGGAAAAAAGCATACTTAATTAGCTAAGACTTCTTATTCTAGGCTTGACCCTGTGTTCGACATCTTTTGAATTTGTAGTTGCATGGGCTGCTCTCTGACACTGGTTAGTGACCTGGAAGCTATATTAACGTTAGGGGAGGTGGTGTATGAGCATTAGAGGTATCCTTGCAAGGAAAGACTTGTCTTATCTCAATACGTCTTTTTTTGCACACAAGAAAGTCAGTGTTTGAGTCTTCTAAAATCTTCCTATTTCCAAGTTGCAGAGCACCATTGATTCTTAAACAAAGACCTAATTTTTGACTCAGAGACGTGGCAAGGTAGTGAATCACCATTATAATTTAACAATCTTCAAGATAAAATTATCTCTGATATTTAGATTTTGCCCAATTATTAAGATATTTGGGTGTTTCGTTAAGAATGGAAGACTCTAGTCTCTTGAGCAGAGACTATAAAGGCCTCAGATGATCATTTTTAATTTTATGCTCTTTTCTTTAACACCTTCAACACAGTTGGAAGCAGCCGATATTCCCCAGAATTGTGTTTTTTAAACCAAATGCATGGTTCAGTGGTAGAAAACTGGGCTGATCCAAGCTGTTTTCAGTAAACATTTCAGGTGACCTATTTCATATTAAATAATCTCTAGATCCTGTCTTCGAAACTAACTAGATCAGATAACCTACCCTGGTTTTTCTCCTTTTAGGGTCTGTGAGCTGCAGTCACTTTTGTGAAAATGATTGCGATGACAAGATAGAGTTGTAGATGGGGAAAATGTTTTGACTAATTTAAGCATAGTGGTATTTCATATGAGAATTTAAGTTACACACATTTGAAAATTATAATGGAGTCTCTTGGCTGAGCTTTAAAAAATATAGCATTTAGGCTAAAAAGGGAACTGCTACCTCTCCTAAGATCAGAAAGATGTTACAGTAATTCTCCATTCTCTAGAATTATCAGGAAGCACCTTTGTGATGATTTACTTTTGCTCTTGGGAGTGTGAGCCCGTGTAGTCGTGGAACCATCAATTAGAATGGTGGCTTTCTGATCCCAAAGTCATTCGTTCTGAAAACAATATTTTTCATAAATTTGAAAGTGAGAAGTTTTGATCTTGCCATTCCCAAGTAACTCTCTTAATGAGAGGCATCAGCATGCTTCAGTGACAGCTGTCACCTTCCAGTGCTGAGAGTCATCTTTGAGTTCTCCATTTCACTCCCTACACTCCAATTCAGCTGCAGTTCTCTTGGATAGTCCTATGAAATACATCCATGGCCTAACGACTTCTCACCACTACTACCACTCATCCTCACAGTATTCTCACCTAAGTCACTACCTGTTTTCTCTGGATTACAGTAGCCTCCCAATTTATTTGCTCACATAACCTATTTATTCTACACAGTGCACCAGATACACCCCTTTGAAATGCAAACACAATCATGTTATTCTCTGGTGAAATTATCTCATATATTCCTATCGCATTTAAAATTAATTCAGAATAATCCCATGATTATCAAAACCCTACATGCTCTTCCACAACATGGTTTACTTCCAAGATATCTCTTCTACTTTTTTTTCACTGTACTGAATTGGTGACTAATAGTCATATTTTTGTTTTTGCTCAAAAAGTCTTGACTTGTAAATTTTTCAGTTTCTCCTTTATCCACAGGTAACTCTTTCCACATAAGGCAAATTGCTTGCTTCCTTGAGTTCTGCTCTCAAAGATACCCTTCATTTTCTACCTAATATTAATAACTTTAATCATTCATTATTCCATTACTATGCTCTATAGTCTATACAATTTCTGTTCTTTGTCATGTTATTAACTAAATTATTTATTTGTTCCAGTAACGTATTCCATAAATATTGTACACATAAAAATTATGTTATTTTTATTGCTGTATGCTCAGCTGCCCAATAACAGTCTGAGGTTTAACATATTTGTTAAATGCACAAATACATTCTTTCACAAATATCAGTTTAATAATTTTATATTAAACTCCCTCTATACTTACAATATGAATTAGATAATTCAGAATAAACATTCCAGTGGAAAAAACTAAACAATTTGTTATAAAACATCCTTAAAAGCATCAGAAAGTTAATACAGCAATGAAGAATTACAGGACCAAATTAAGAATGGTATGGAAGCCTGTTTGTGAGGCTTATGTTTGGGTTATCTCTTTACTTAGAGTGACTATAAATCTCAAAAGAGAATTAAAGGAGAAATAACCATATCAACTCACATGGTAAGGGTATTTAAACATCTCTTAGTAATTGAGAAAATTGAAAGAAAAGAAAAAAGAGAAAGGGAGAAAGAGAAACAGAGTGAAAGGGATAATGAAGGAGAGACAGAAGAAGAGCAAGGAAGAGGAAGAAAAGTAAAAAGGAGGAGGAGGGGGAGGGAAGAAGAAAGAAAGGTGAAAAGAAAGAATGCTAAAGTTTTCAACAACATAATTTATCCTTCTAGAATATGAATGTTGGTCTATTTGATGATGTCTCACAAATTCCTTAGTCTCTGCTCATTTTTTATCTGTTTCTCAGAGTCAATATTTTCCATTTTCTTATCTTCAAGCTCATGACTTCTTCTGTATGTGCAAATATACTCTTAAATCCCTCTGGTGATTTTTAAATTTTTATCATTGTAGTTTTCCACTCCAGAATTTGTGCTATCTCTGTTGATATTCCTAATTTTTAATATTTTTTCTGATTCCTTTATTTCTTTGTTTATGTTTTCCTTTTGACATTTGAGTATAATTAAGAGAGTTGTTTTAAAGTCTTTGTCTAGTAAGTTTGATGTCTGAGTTCCCTTAGAGATATTCTCTGTCAATTTGTTTTGTTCCTTTGAATGAGCCATACTTTCCCATTCTTTGTATGCCTTGAAACTTTTTTTGAAAACTGTACATTATAATAATTATAATTACTATGTGGTTACTCTGTAAATCAGACACCCCTACAAACACAGTAATGTTTTGTGGTTTTAAATTTTCTTTACTTATTATATTGTTAAGGATTTTTTTTAAGTGAAATTTTCCAAAGTGATTTACAAAACTGTTTGCTTTATAAGGTGTCACTGAAGTCTTTTTGTTTCCATAACAAATGTTAAGCTAAAGTTTTGACAGTGATTTTCTTGTATGTCAGGAACCAATCAAACAGGCAAATACAAGAAAAACAAAAAGAAAAACAAGTAATCATTGTCCAGCAAAATATGTCTCTAGGCCATGCAGACTGGCTTTGTGATGGGTTCTTTAAAGCTGGCACAAAGTGTGTGTTCACTCTTGCACTGAGTGAAGTTCAAGTTCACTCTTGCACAGAGCTTGCACAGAGGGGAGGGATCGACCAAGGTAAAAGTGTAGGGTCTTCTTATGACATTTGTCAGCATGTGGCTTAACCTATGAATTCATGTGACTTTCTATACTCTCCCATGTACGTGAATGATTTTGTATGTTTTAGTTTTTGAAATACTCTTCTCCAACTTTTCTTGCTGTGCTGAAGGTGATCTACTATAAGTGTAAACTCTAATTTTTGCCCTAAGCATCTGTGGCTTGTTAGGTTTCCTTGCAGTTTCTTAAAAATGTCCATTCCTTATCTGTTCTGTATTCTAGCAACACAGGAAAAAAAGCCTTTCATGAGTCATTTAGATATCCCCAGACCTGTCAGAATAGACACTCGAGTCCATTCGATGATTCCACTCGATTCCATTTGATGATGATTCCATTCGAGTCCATTCGATGATTTCATTCAATTCCATTCGATGATGATTCCATTCGAGTCCATTCGATGATTCTATTCGATTCCATTCGATGATGTTCCTTTTCATTTCCATTCGATGATGATTCAATTCAATTCCATTCAATGATGACTCCATTACATTCCATTTGATGATGATTCCATTTGATTCCTTTCGATGATGATTCCATTTGATTACATTTGGTGATTATTCCTTTCGAGTCCATTCGATGATGATTCCATTCCAGTACATTCGATGATGTTTCCATTCCACTCCATTCCATGATGATTCCATTCGTGTCCATTCGATGACGATTCCATTCCATTCCATTCGATGATGATTCCATTAAATGATTCCATTCGATTCCATTCGATGATGATTCCATTCGATTCCATTCAATTCCATTCTATGATGATTCCATTCAATTCCATTTGATGATGATTCCCTTAGAGCCCATTCGATGATTCCATTCGATTCCATTCGATGATGTTTCCATTTGATTCCATTAGATGATTCCATTCGATTCCATTCGAGGATGATTCCATTTGATTCCATTCAATGATTCCATTTGATTCCATTCGATGTTGATTCCATTCGAGTCCATTCGATGATTCCATTCGATTCAATTTGATGATGATTCCATTCAACTCCGATCCATGATTCCATTCGATTCCATTTGATGATGATTGCGTTCGAGTCCATTTGATGATTCCATTCGATTCCATTCAATGATGATTCCATTCGAGTCCATTCGATGATTCCATTCGATTCCATTCGATGATGATTGCATTAGACTTCATTGGATGATTCCATTCGATTCGACTCGATGATGATTCCATTCGATTCCATTGGCTGATGCCATTTGATTCCATTCAATGATTCCATTTGATGATTATTCCATTCGATTCCATTCAATGATTCCATTTGACGTTATTTCCATTTGATTCCATTCGATGATTCCATATGATTCCATTCAATGATTCCATTCGATACCATTCTAGGATTTCATTGGATTCCATTTGATGATTATTTCATTCGACTCCTTTCGATGATTCCGTTTGATTCCATTCGATGAGGATTCCATTTGATTCCATTTGATGATGATTGCATTCGATTCCATTTGATGATTCTTTTCGATTTCATTTGATGATGATTACATTCGATGATATCATTCAATTCCCTTTGATGATTATTCCATTCGATTTCTTTCAATGAATCCATTCAATTCCATTCGATGATGATTCCATTCAATTCCTTTTGATGATGATTGCATTCGATTCCATTCAATGATTCCATTCGATTCCATTCGATGATGATTCCATTCGATGATGATTCCATTCGATTCCATTTGATGATTCCATTCGATTCAATTCGATGATTCCATACTATTCCATTTGATGATTATTCCATTTGGTTCCATTCAATGATGATTCCATTCGATTCCTTTTGATGATTCCTTTTGATTCCATTCGATGATGATTCTACTCGATTCCATTTGATGATGATTCCATTCGATTCCATTCAGTGATTCCATTCGATGATGATTCCATTCAACTGAATTTGATGATTCCATTCGATTGAATTCGATGATGATTCCATTTCATTCCGTTTGATGATGGTTCCATTCAATTCCATTCGATGATGATTTCATTCGATTCCATTTGTTGAATCCATTCCATGATTCCATTGGATTCCATTCAATGATTCCATTCGATTCCATTCAATGATTATTCCATTTGATTCCATTCAATGATTCCATTGGATTCCATGCGATGATGATTCTCTTTGATTCCATTCCATTATTCCATTCGATTCCATTCGATGATGATTCCATTCGGTTCCATTTGGTGACTCCATTTGACACCATTCGAGGATTCCATTCGATTCCATTACATGATTATTCCATTTGATTCCTTCCAATGATTCCATTTGATTCCATTAGATGATGATTCCATTTGATTCCATTCGATGACGATTCTGTTTGATTCCATTCAATGATTCCATTCGATTATATTTGATGATGATTCCATTTGATTCCATTTGTTGATTCCTTTCGATTCCATTCGAGGATTCCATTCAATTCCATTCAATGATTATTCCATTCGACTCCTTTCGATGATTCCATTCAATTCCACTCTATGATGATTCCATTCGATAATGATTCCATTCAATTCCATTCGATGATTTCATTCGATTCCATTCAATCATTCCATTCGATTCCATTCGATGATGATTCCATTTGATTTCATTCAATGATTCCATTTGATTATATGCAATTATGATTTCATTCGATTCCATTCCATGATTCCTTTCAATTACTTTCGATGATGATTCCATTCAATTCCATTCGATGATTCCATTCGATTCCATTCTAGGATATCATTCGATTCCATTCAATGATTATTCCAATCGATTCCTATCAATGATTCTGTTCAATTCCATTCGATGATGATTCCATTCGATTCCATTCGATTATGGTTGCATTTGATTCCATTCGATGATTCTTTTCAATTTCATTCGATGATGATTCCATTCCATGATTCCATTTGATTCCATTCCATGATGATTCCATTCAATTCCATTCGATTTATTCCATTCGATACCATTCGATGTTTCATTTTGATACCATTCGATGATGATTCCATTAGATTCCATGTGATGATGATTCTATTCGATTCCATGTGAAGATGATTCCATTCAATACCATTTCATGATTGCATTCGATTCCATTCGATGATGATTCCATTCAATTCCATCAGATGACTCCATTCGATTCCATTTGATGATTCCATTCGATTCCATTCGATGATTCCATTCGATTCCATTCGATGATGATTCCAGTCGATTCCATTCGATTATGATTCCAATCGTTTCCATTCTATGATTCCATTCAATTCTATTCGATTATTCCATTCTATTCCATTCGAAGATTATTCCATTCAATTCCATTAGATGATTCCATTTGATTCCATGTGATGAAGATTCCATTCGATTCCATGTGAAGATGATTCCATTTGATTCCATTCCATGATTGCATTCGATTCCATTCGATGATGATTCCATCAGATGACTCCATTCGATTCCATTCGATGATGATTCCATTCGATTCCATTCGATGATGATTCCAGTCTATTCCATTAGATTATGATTCCATTCGATTCCATTTTATGATTCTATTCGATTCAATTCAATGATTATTCCGTTCGATTCCATTTGATGATTCCATTTGATTTCATGTGATGATGATTCCATTCGATTCCACTCCATGATTCCATTCGATTCCATTCGATGATGGTTCCATTCAATTCCATTCAATGATTCCACTCGATTCCATTTGATGATTCCATTTGATTCCATTCAATGATTATTCCATTCGATTCCTTTCAATGATTCTGTTCGATTCCATTCGATGATGATTCCATTCTATTCCATTCGATGATGATTGCGTTCCTTTCCATTCAATGATTCTTTTTGATTTCATTCAATGATGATTCCATTCGATGATTCCATTCGATTACATTCGATGATGATTCCATTTGATTCCATTCGATTTATTCCATTGGATTCCACTCGATGATTCCTTTCGATACCATTTGATGATGACTCCATTCGATTCCATGTGATGATGAGTCCATTGGATTCCATGCGATGATGATTCCATTAGATTGCATTTGATGATTCGATTTGATTCCATTTGATGATGATTCCATTCGATTCCATTGGATGACTGCATTCACATCATTTGATGATGATTCCATTCAATTCCATTCTATGATTCCATTCGATTCCATTCAATGATGATTCCATTCGATTCCATTCGATGATGATTGCATTCAATTCCATTCAATGATTCCGTTTGATTCCATTCAGTGATGATTTCATTCGATTCCATTAGATGATTGCATTCGATGATTCCATTCGCTTCCATTAGATGATTGCATTTGATGATTCCATTCGCTTCCATTCGATGATGATTCCATGCAATTCCATTCGATCATTCCATTTGATTCCATGTGAAGATGATTCCATTTGATTCCATTCAATGACTGCGTTTGATTCCATTCGATGATGATTCCATTTGATTCCATTCAATGATGTCATTCGATTCCTTTCGAGGATTTTATTCAATTGCATTTGATATTTATTCCATTCACTTCCTTTTGATGATTCCATTTGATTCCATTCGATGATGATTGGATTCAATGATGATTCCATTCAATTCCATTTGATGATTTTTTTGAATTTCATTCGATGATGATTCCAGTCGAGGATTCCATTGGATTACATTTGATGATTATTCCATTCTGTTCCATTTGATTTATTCCATTCAATTCCATTTGATGATTCCTTTCAATATCATTCAATGATGAATCCATTCGATTCCATGTGATGATGATTCCATTCAATTCCATTTGATTATTCTATTCGATTGCATGTGATGATGATTCTACTCAATTACATTCAATGATTCGATTGCATTCGAAGACAATTACATTAATTCCATTTGATGATTATTTTCGATTCCATTTGATGATGATTCCATTCAATTCCATTTGATGATTCCATTCAATTCCATTTGATGATGATTGCATTCGATTCCATTCGATGATTCTTTTCGATTTCATTCTATGATGATTCCATTCAATGATTCCATTTGATTCCATTTGATGATGACTCCATTCGATTCCATTAGATTTATTCCATTCAATTCCATTCGATGTTTCCTTTTGATACCATTCGATAATGATTCCATTCGATTCCATGTGATGATGATTCCATTTGATTCCATGGGATGATGATTTCATTCGATTCCATTCGATGATTCCATTTGATTCCATGTGATGATGATTCCATTCAATTCCATTCCATGATTCCATTCGATTCCATTCGATGAT
The DNA here is from genome assembly GCF_000001405.40 of Homo sapiens. Taxonomy (NCBI): domain Eukaryota; kingdom Metazoa; phylum Chordata; class Mammalia; order Primates; family Hominidae; genus Homo; species Homo sapiens. The sequence continues at coordinate 8,961 of NT_187392.1, forward strand.
GATTCCATTCGATTCCATTCGATGATTCCATTCAATTCCATTCGATGATTCCATTCAATTCCATTTGATAATTATTCCATTCGATTCCTTTCGATGATTCCGTTCGATTCCATTTGATGATAATTCCATTCTATTACATTCTATGATGATTACATTTCTTTCCATTCGAGGATTCTTTTTGATATGATTCAATGATGATTCCATTCGATGATTCCTTTCGATTCCATTCGATGATGATGCCATTCGATTCCATTCAATTTATTCCATTCGATTGCATTCGATGATTCCTTTCGATACTATTTGATGATGATTCCATTTGATTCCATGTGATGATGATTCCATACGATTCCATGCAATGATGTTTCCATTCGATTGCATTTGATGATTCCATTTGATTCCCTTTGATGATGATTCCATTCGATTCCAATGGATGACTCCATTCACATCCATTCGATGATGATTCCATTTGATTCCATTCAATGATTATAGCATTCAATTCCATTCGATGATGATTCCATTCGATTCCATTCGATGATGATAGCATTTGATTCCATTCGATGATTCCGTTTGATTCAATTCAGTGATGATTTCATTCGGTTCCATTCGATGATTCCATTCGATTCCATTTGATGATTCCATTCACTTCTATTCAATGATGAATCCGTGCGATTCCATTCGATCATTCCATTTGATTCCATGTGATGATGATTTCATTCAATTCCATTCGATGATGATTTCATTCAATTCCATTCAATGATTCCATTCGATTTCATTTGAAGATTTCATTCAATTGCATTTGATGTTTATTCCATTCGATTCCTTTCGATGATTCCATTCAATTCCATTCAATGATGATTTCATTCAATTCCATTAGATGATGATTGCATTCAATTCCATTCGATGATTTTTTCAATTTCATTCGATGATGATTCCTGTTGATGATTCCATTCGATTGCATTCGTTGATGAATCCATTTGATTCCATTCTATGGTGATTACATTGAATTCCTTTCGATGATGTTTCCATTCAATTCCATTCAATGATGATTCCATTCGATTCTGTTCGATGATGATTCCATTCTATTCCATTCCATGATTCCATTCGATTCCATTCGATGATGATTCCATTCTATTCCATTCCATGATTCCATTCGATTCCATTCGATGACGATTCCATTAGATTCCATTCGATGATGATTCTATTCGAGTCCATTCAATGATTCCATCCGATTCCATTTGAAGATGATTCCATTCGGTTCGATTCTATGAAGATTCCATTTGATTCCATTCGATGATTCCATTTGACTCCATTCGATGATGATTCCATTTGACACTATTCAATGATTCCATTTGATTCCATTTGATGATGATTCCGTTCAACTCTGTTCAATGATTCCATTCGAGTCCATTCGATGTTTCCATTCGATTCCATTTGAAGATGATTCCATTCGAGTCCATTCGATGATTCCTTTCGAGTCCATTCAATGATTCAGTTTGGTTCTATTTGATGGTGATTCCATTGGATTCCATTTGATGATGATTCCATTCGATTCCATTCGATGATGATTACATCCGATTTCATTCGATGATTCCATTTGATTCCATTTGATGATGATTCCATTTGATTCCGTTCGATGCTGATTCCGTTCGATTCTATTGATTATGATTGCATTCAAGTCCTTTTGATGATTCCATTCCAGTCCATTTGATGATTCCATTCGAGCCCATTCAACGATGATTCAATTTGATTCTATTCGATGATGATTCCGTTTGAGTCCATTTGATAATTCCATTTGATTCCATTCCATAAGGATTCCATTCTTGTCCATTTGATGATTCCATTCGATTCCATTTGATTAGGATTCAATTCCAGTCCATTAGATGATTCCATTTGATTCATTTCGATGATGATACCAGTTGATTCCATTAGTTGATTCCATCTGATTCCATTTGATGATGATTCCATTTGTGTCCCTTTGATGATTCTATTCGAATCCATTTGATGATTGCTTTTGATTCCATTCGATGATGATTCCATTCTACTTCATTCAGTGATGATTCCATTCGTGTCCATTCTATGATTTAATTTGATTCCATTTGATGATGATTCCATTCGATTCCATTAGATGATTCTATTCGATTCCATTTGATGATTCCATTCGAGTCCATTTGCTGATTCCATTCGATTCCAATCGATGATTCCCTTCGAGTCCATTTGATGATTCCAATCGAGTGCATTCGATGTTCCTATTCTATTCCATTCGATGATGATTCCATTCGAGTCCATTCGATGATGATTCCATTTGATTCCATTAGATGATTCCATTCAATACCTCTCGATGATTCACTTCAATTCCTTTTGATGATGATTCCATTCAATGATTCCATTCGATTCCATTTGATGATGATTCCTTTCGATTCCTTTTGAAGGTGATTCCTTTTGATTCCATTTGATGATAATTACATACGATCCCAGTGATGATGATTGCATTCTAGTACATTCAATGATTCTATTCGAGTCTATTTGATGATTTCATTAGAGTCCATTCAATGATGATTCTATTCGTTTCCATTCGAGGATGATTCCATTCGAGTCCATTCAAAGAGGATTCCATTCGTGTCCATTCGATGTTTCCATTCGATTCCATTTGATGATGATTCCATTTGATTCCATTCCATAATTCCATTCAATGCCTTTCGATGATCATTCCACTAGAATCCATTCGAAAATTACCCCTTTAGGTTCCATTTGATGATGATTCCATTCAGTTCCATTTGATGATGATTCCATTAGATTCCATTCGATGATTCCATTTGATTCCCTTTATTCATGATTCTATTCTATTCCACTTGATGATCATTGTATTCGGTTCCATTTGATGATGATCCCATTCGATTCCATTTGATGATGATTCCATTGGATTCCTTTTGATGATGATTCCATTCGATTTCATTCGATGATTCTATTCGATTCCATTCGAAAATGATTCCATTCTATTCCTTTTGATGATTCCATTCGATTCCATTCGCTGATGTTTCCATTTGATTCCATTCCATGATGATTCCATTCGTTTCCATTCGATAATTCCATTCGATTCAATTCGATGATGATTTGATTCGAGTCTGTTAGATGATTCTATTTGATTCCAGTGGATGATGATTCCATTTGATGCCACTCGATGATTCCATTCGGTTTCATTTGATTAAGATTCCATTCGATTCATTTTGATGATTCCATTCATTTCAATTCGATGATGATTCCATTCGAGTAAATTCCATGATTCCATTTGATTCCATTCGATGATGATTCCATTTGAGTCCATTCATTGATTCCATTTGATTTCATTCGATGATGATTCCTTTTGATTCCATTCAATGATGATTCCATTAGAGTCCATTCGATGTTTCCATTCAAATCCATTCAATGATGATTCCATTTGAGTCCATTCAATGATTTGATTCGATTCCATTCAATGATTCCATTCAGTTCCATTTGATGATGATTCCATTGGATTCCCTTCGTTTATGATTCCATTCGTTTCCATTCGATGATTCCATTTGATTCTATTCAAAGATGATTCCATTTGATTCCATTCGATGATAATTCCATTCGATTCCTTTTGATGATGATTGCATTTGATTCCATTCAATGATGATTCCATTTGTTTCCATTTGATGATGATTCCATTCGATTCAATTCAACGATGATTCCAACCGAGTCCATTCGATGATTCCATTTGATGATGCTTCCATTCTATTCCATTCGTTGTTTCCATTCAATTCCATTCGATGATGATTCCTTTTGAATGCTTTCAATGATTCCATGTGATTTCATTCGATGATGACTCTATTTGATTCAATTTGATGATTCCATATGATTACATTCGATTATGATTGCATTTGATTCCATTCAATGATTCCATTTGATTCCATGCAATGATAATTCCATTCGAGTCTATTTGATGATTCCATTCGATTCCATTCAATGATTCCATTCGAATCCATTTGATGATGATTCCATTCGAGTCCATTCGATGATTCCATTCGAGTCCATTCAACAATGATTGTACTCGATTCCATTTAATGATTCCATTCAATTTCTTTCGATGATGATTCCATTCAATTCCTTTTGATGATTCCTTTCTATTCCATTTGATGATGATTCCATTCGAGTCCATTCGATGATTCCATTCGATTCCATTCGACAATGATTCCATTCATATCCTGTCATTGATTCCATTCGATTTCATTCGATGATGATTCCTTTTGATTCCATTCATGATGATTCCATTCGAATCCAATCGATGTTTCCATTCGATTCCATTCGATGTTTATTCCTTTCGATTCCATTTGATTATTCCATTCGAGTCCATTTGATGATTCCATTCGATTCCATTCAATGATGATTCCATCTGATGCCATTCGATGATTCCATTTGATTCCATTTGACGATGATTCCATTCGAGTCCATTCGATGACTCCTTTCAATTCCATTCGATGATTATTCCATTCGTGTCCATTCCAGGATTCCATTAGATTCCATTCGATGATGATTCCATCCGTGTCCATTTGATGATTCCATTGAATTCCATTCGATGATTTCATTCGATTCCCTTCGATGATGAGTCCAGTCTACTCATTTCAATGATGATTCCATTTGATTCAATTCGATGATTTTCCATTCGAGTCCATTCACTGATACCATTCGATTCCAAAAGATGATTCCCTTCGAGTGCATTCGATGATTCCATTCGAGTGCATTCGATGATTCCATTCTATTACATTCGATGATGATTCCATTCGAGTCCATTCGGTGCTGATTCCATTCAATTCCATTCGGTGATTCCATTCGAATCCATTCGATGATTCAGTTCTATTCCTTTTGATGATGATTCCATTCAATTCCATTCAATGATTCCATTCGATTCCATTCGATGATGATTCCATTCACTTCCTTTTGAAGATGATTCCTTTCGATTCCATTTGATGATAACTACATTCGATCCCATTGATGACGATTGCATTCTAGTCTATTCGATGATTCCATTCGAGTCTATTCGATGATTTCATTCGAGTCCATTCAATGATGATTCTATTCGATTCCATTTGAGGATGATTCCATTCGATTACATTCGATGATGATTCCATTCGATTTCATCTGATGATGATTTCAATCAAGTCCATTCCATGATTCCATTCAATTCCATTCGATGATTGTTCCATTCGAGTCCATTCGATGATTCCATTCCATTCCATTCGATGATGATTCCATTCAATGACATTCGATGATTCCATTCGATTCCATTCAATGATGATTCCATTCGAGTCCATTCGATGATTCTATTAGATTCCATTTGATGATGATTCCATTTGAGTCCATTCGATGATTTCAATCGATTCCATTCGATGATGATTCCATTCGAGTCTATTCGATGATTCCATTCGATGAGGATTCCAATCGAGCCCATTCAATGATTCCATTCAAGTCCATTCGATTATTCCCTTAGATTCCATTCCTTGATGATTCTATTTGATGCCATTCAATGATTCCATTTGATTCCATTCGATGATGTTTCCATTCGAGTCCATTCGATGATTCCATTCGATTCCATTTGTTGATTGCATTCTTCTCCATTCGATTATTCCATTCGAGTCCATTCGATGATTCCATTTGATTCCATTTGATGATAATTCCATTTGAGTCCATTCGATGATAATTCCATTCGAGTCCATTCGATGATAATTCCATTCAATTCCATTCGATGATTCCATTCGATTCCATTCCATGATTCCCTTCGATTCCTTTCTATGATGATTCCATTCGATTCCATTCATGATGATTCCATTTGATTCCAATCATGATGATTCCATTCGATTCCAGTTGATGATGACTGCATTCGGTTCTATTTGATGATGATTCCAACGGACTCCATTCGATTTCTCCATTTAATTCCATTCGATGATGATTCCATTTGAGTCCTTTCGATGATTCCATTGGATTCCATTTGATGATTCCATTCGAGTCCATTCGCTGATTCCATTCGATGATGATTCCAATCGAGTCCATTCAATGATTCCATTTGAGTCCGTTCGATTATTCCCTTAGATTCCATTCCTTGATGATTCTATTCGATGCCATTCAATGATTCCATTTGATTCCATTCGATGATGTTTCCATTCGAGTCCATTTGATGATTCCATTTGATTCCATTCGATGATTCCATTCTTCTCCATTCGATTATTCCATTCGAGTCCATTCAATGATTCCATTCGAATCCATTCGATGATAATTCCAGTCGAGTCCATTTGATGATGATTCCATTCGATTCCATTCGATGATTCCAATCGATTCCATTCCATGATTCTCTTCGATTCCTTTTGATGATGATTCCATTCCATCCCATTCGATGATAATTCCATTTGATTCCATTCCATGATTACCTTCGATTCCATTCCATGATTACCTTTGATTCCTTTCGATGATGATTCTATTTGATTCCATTCGATGATGATTCCATCTGATTCCATTCGATGATTCCATTTGATTCCATTCGATGATGATTCCATTCGTTTCCATCTGATGATGATTCCATTCGATTCCATTTGATGATTCCATTCGAGTAAATTCAATTTTTCCATTTGATACCATTCGATGATGATTCCATTTGAGTCCATTCCATGATTCCATTCGAGTCCATTCAATGATTCCATTCGAGTCCATTCAATGATTCCATTTGTTTCCATTTGATGATGATTACATTCGAGTCCATTCGATGTTTCCATTTGATTCCATTTGATGATGATTCCATTCGAGTCCATTCAATGATTCCATTCGATTCCATTCAATGAAGATTCCATTCTAGTACATTCGATGATTATTCCATTCGATTCTATTCGATTATTCCTTGTGATTCCATTTGATGATGATTCCATTCGAGACCATTCAATGATTACATTGAATTCATTTGATAATGATTCCGTTCAATTCCATTCAATGATTCCATTAGATTCCATTTGATGATGGTTCCATTCAATTCCATTTGATGATGATTCCATGCGATTCCATTCGATGATGACTCCTTTCGGTCCATTCGATGACGATTCCATTTGGTTGCATTCAATGATGATTCCTTTGGATTCCATTCCATGATGATTCCATTCGATTCCATTTGCTGATGATTCTTTTCTATTCAAGTCGGTGATGATTCCATTCGATTGCATTCGATGATGTTTCCATTCAATTCCATTCAATGATTCCATTCGTTTCCATTCAATGATGATTCCATTCGAGTTCATTGATTATTCCATTACATTCCATTCGATGATTCCATTAGAGTCCATTCGATGATTCTATTCGATTCCATTCAATAATTCCATTCGATTCCATTTGATGATGATTCCATTCGAGTCCATTCGATGATTATTCCATTCGATTCTATTCGGTGATTACATTCGATTGCATTTGATAATTATTCCTTTCGAGACCATTCGATGATTCCATTCAATTCATTCTGTGATGATACCATTCAATTCCATTCAATGATTCAATTTGAGTCCATTTGATGATTCCATTCGAGTCTATTCAACGAAGATTCTGTTCAATTCCATTCGATGATGATTGCATTTGGGTCCATTTGATGATTCCATTCACTTCCATTCGATGGGGATTCCATTCGTCTCCATTTGATTATTCCATTCGATTCCATTCAATGAGGATTCCATTACTGTCCATTAGATGATTCCATTTGATTCCATTTGATGATGATTCCATTCGATTCCATTCGTTAATTCCATTTCATTCCATTGGATGATGATTCCATTCATGTCCATTTGATGATTCTTTTCGAATCCATTCGATTTTTGCTTTTGATTCCATTTGATGATGATTCCATTCGATACCATTCTATGGTTCCATTTGATTCTATTCGATGATGATTCCATTTGATTTCATTGGATGGTTCTATTTGATTCTGTTTGAGATGATTGCATTCGATTCCATTCGATGATTCAATTCGATTCCATTCGATGATGATTCCATTCGATTCCATCCGATGGTTCCATTCGATTCCATTTGATGATTCCATTTGATTCCATTCGATGATGATTCCATTGGATTCCATTTGATGACTCCATTCCATTCCATTCAATGAGGATTCCATTCGATGTCATTCAATGATTCCATTCGATTCCATTTGATTATGATTCCATTCCAGTACCTTCGATGATTCCATTAGATTCCATTTGATGATGATTCCATTCGAGTCCATTCGATGATTCCATTCCATTCCATTCGATGATGATTCCATTTGAGTCCATTCGATGATTCCATTCCATTCCATTCGATGATGATTCCACTCGAGTCCATTCGATGATTTCATTCCATTCCATTCAATGATGATTCCATTTGAGTCCATTTGATGATTCCATTCGATTCCATTCGATGATGATTCCACTCGAGTCCATTCGATTATTCCATTCGAGTCCATTCGATTATTCCTTAAGATTCCATTCATTGATTATTCTATTCAATGTCATTCGATGATTCCATTCGATTCCATTCAATGATGATTCCATTTGAGTCCATTCGATGATTCCATTTGATTCCATTAAATGATGATTCCATTCGTGTCTATTCAATTATTCCATTTGATTCTATTCCTTGATGATTCCATTCGAGTCCTTTTGATGATTCCATTCTTTTCCATTTGATGGTGATTCCATTTGAATCCATTCGATGATTCCATTCGATTCCATTCTATGATTCCCTTCTATCCCATTTGATGATTCCCTTTGATTCCATTCGATGATCATTCCATTCAATTCAGTGATCCCATTGGATTCCATTCAATGATGATTCCATTAGATTACACTCCATGATGATTCCATTCGGTTCCATGTGATGATGATGCCATGAGATTCCATTCGATGATTCCATGCTATTCCATTCGTTGATGATTCCATTTGATTCCATTAGACGATGATTCCATTCGATTCCATTCGTTGATGATTCCATTCGATTCCATTCGATGATGATTCCGTTCCTTTTCATTTGATGATTCTATTCGATTGCATTCGATGATGATTCCTTTCTATTCCATTTGATGATTCCATTCGATTCTATCCAATGAGGATTCAAATAGATTCCGTTTGATGATGATTCCATTCAATGATGTTTCCATTCGATTCCATTCGATGTTTCCATTCGATTCCATTCGATGATGATTCCATTCGATTCCATTCGATGATTCCATTTGAGTCCACTTGATGATTCCTTTCGGTTCCATTTGATGATGATACCATTGGATTCCATTCATTGATGATTCCATTTGATTCCATTCCATGATGATTCCATTCGAGTCCATTTGATCATGATTCCGTCGATTCTTTTCGATGATTCCATTCAATACCATTCGATGATGATTCCATTTGTGTCCATTCTATGATTCCATTTCATTTCATTAGATGATGATTCCTTTGGTTTCCATTCAATGATGGTTCCATTCGAGTCCATTCAATTTTTCCATTCGATTTCATTCGATGATGATTCCATTCGAATCTATTCAATGATTCCATTTGAGTCCATTTGATGATTCCATTCGGTTCCATTTGATGATGATACCACTGGATTCCATTCTTTGATAATTCCATTCAACTCCATTCGATGATGATCCCATTTGATTCCATTCGATGATGATCCCATTTGATTCCATTCGATGATGATTCCACTCGATTCCATTCGATGATGATTCCATTCCATTTCATTCGATGATGATTTCATTCAAGTCCATTTGATGATTCCATTCGATTCCATTCAATGATGATTCCAATCGAGTCCATTCGATGATTCCATTAGAGTCCATTCGATGATTCCATTTGAGTCCATTTGATGATTCCATTCAATTCCATCCAATGATGATTCCATTCAAGTCCATTCAATGTTTCCATTAGATTCCTTTCGATGATGATTCCATTCGAGTCCATTCAATGATTCCATTCGAGCCCATTTGATCATTCCATTCCATTCCGTTTGATGATGATTCCATTGGATTCCATTTGTTGATGATTCCATTCGATTCCATTCGATGATGATTCCATTTGATTCCATTTGTTGATGATTCCATTATATTCCATTCGATTCTGATTCCATTCGATGATGACTCCATTTGTTTTCATTCAATGTTTCTATTCAATTCCATTCGATGATGATTCCTTTCTATTCCATTTGATGATTCCATTCGATTCCATCCGATGAGGATTCAAATCAATTCCGTTTGATGATGATTCCATTCAATTCCATTCAATGAAAATTCCATTCGTGTCCATTTGATTATTCCATTCATTTTCATTCGATGATGATTCCATTCGCATCCATTAGATGACTCCATTCGATTCGATTCGATGATGATTTCATTCGATGCCATTTGATGATTCCATTTGATTCCATTCGATGATGATTCCATACGATTCCATTCGATGATTCCATTCGATTATGATTGCATTCAATTCCATTCACTGATTCCATTTGATTCCATTTGATGATGATTTCATTCGAGTCCATTTGACGTTTCCATTCCATTCCATTCAATGATGGTTCATTCGATTCCGTTTGATGATTCTATATGATTCCATTTGATGATTCCATTCGAGTCCATTTGATGATTCCATTCGATGAAGTTTCCATTCAAGTCCATTTGATGATGATTCCATTGGATTCCATTCGATGATTTCTTTCTATTCCATTCAATGATTCACTTCGATTCCTTTAGATGATGATTCCTTTCAATTCCATTCGATGATGATTCCATTCTATTCAATTCGATGATGATTCCATTCGATTCCATTCGATAATTCCATTTGATTCCATTAGATGATGATTCCATTCGATTCCATTTGTTGATTCCATTCGATTCCTTTGGATGATGATTCTTTTCGAATCCATTTGATGGTGACTCTATTCAATTCCATTCGATTATTCCATTAATTTCCATTCGATGATGATTGCATTGCATTCCATTCGATGATTGCATTCGATTCCATGTGATGAGTATTCCATTCGAGTCCATTCGATGATTCCATTTGATTCTATTCCATGAGGATTCCATTCGTGTCCATTCTATGACACAATTCGATTCCTTTCAATGAAGATTCCATTCCAGTTCATGAGATGATTCCATTCGATGATGATTTCATTTGATTCCTTTCGATTTTTCCATTCGATTTCATTCGATGATGTTTTTATTCGAGTCCATCGATGATTCCATTCGATTCCATTCAATGATTATTCCTTTCGAGTCCTTTCAAAGATTCCATTCGATTCCATTAGATTATGATTCCATTCGGATCCATTCGATGATTCTATTAGATTCCATTCGATGATTCCATTCTATTCCATTCGATGATTCCCTTCGATTCCATTTGATGATCATTCCATTCGATTCCATTCGATGATTTCATGTGATTCCAATCAATGATGATTCCATCCGAGGCCATTCGATGATTCCATTTGATTCCATTCAATGGTGATTCCATCCGATGCCATTCAATGATTCCATTCGATTTCATTCAATGATGATTCCATTCGATTTCATTCAATGATGATTCCATTCGATTCCATTTGATGGTGATTCCATTCGAGTCCATTCAATGATTCTGTTCAGTTCCATTCGATGACAATTGCATTCGAGTCTATTCGATGATTCCATTCGAATCCATTCGATGATGATTCCATGCAATGATTCCATTCGATTCCATTCTATGATTCCATTTGAGTTCATTTGATGTTTCCATTTGATTCCATTTGATGATTGCATTCGATTCTATTTGATGATGAGTCCATTCTATTCAATTCCATGAGTATTCCATTCGATTCAATTCGATGATATTTCCATTCGAGTCCATTCGATGATTCCATTCGATGATTCCATTCCATTGCATTAGATGATGGTTACATTCACTGCCATTCGATGATTCCATTCAATTCCATTTGATGATGATTCCATTTGAGCCCATTCAATGATTCCATTCGATTCCATTTGATGATTATTCCATTCTATTCCATTCGATGATTCCATTCAATTCCATTTGTTGATGATTCCATTCGATGATTCCATTCCATTCCATTCGATGATGATTCCAATCGAGTCCATTTGATGATTCCTTTCGATTCCATTCGATGATGATTCCATTAAAGTCCATTCAATGATTCCATTCGATTCCATTCAATGATGATTCCTTTTGAGTCCATTCAATGATACCATTTGATTCCATTCGATGATGATTCCATTTGAGTGCACTCCATAATTCCATTCATTTCCGTTCGATGATTGTTCCATTCAATGCCATTCCTTGATGAATCCTTTCCATTCCATTTGATGATGACTCCTTTTGATTACATTTGTTGATGCTTCCATTCGATTCCATTCGATGATGACTCCATTCAATGATGATTCCATTCAATTCCATTAGATGATTCCTTTCAATGATTATTCCATTCAATTCCATTCCATGATTATTCCCTTCGATTCATTTTGATGATGATTCCATTCAATTCCATTAGATGATGATTCCACTCAAGTCCGTTTAATGATTCCATTCGCTTGCATTCAATCATTCCATTCGAGTCCATTCAAAGATTCCGTTAGTTTCCATTAGATGATGATACCATTCGAGTCCATTCCATGATTCCATTCAATTCCATTTGATGATGATTCCATTCGAGTCCACTCAATGATTCCATTCGATTCTACTCGATGATGATTCCATTCGATTCCATTCGATGATCATTCCATTCGATGCCATTCAATGATTCCATTCATGTCCATTCGATGATTATTCCATTTGAGTTCATTCGATGAGTCCATTCGATTCCATTCGATGATGATTCCATTCGTTTCCATTCAATGGTGACTCCATTCGATTGCATTTGATGATGACTCCTTCCAATTCCATTCTATGATTCCATTTAATTCCGTTCGATGATGATTCCATTCGAGTCCATTCGATGATTTCATTCGATTCCATTCTATTATTCAATTCGTTTCCATTCGATGATGATTCCATTCGATTCCATTCAATGATAATTAGATTCGATTACTTTTGATGATTCTATTCGATTCCATTGATGATTCCTTTCAAGCCCATTTGATGATTTCATTCGAGTCCATTCGATGACTCCATACGATTCCATTTGATGATGATTCCATTAGAGTAAATTTGATGATGATTCCATTCGTTTCCATTTGATGATTCCATTCGATTCCATTTGATGATTCACTTCGATTCCATTTGATGATGATTCCATTCGATTCCATTTGATGATTCCATTCAATTACATTTGATGACGATTCCATTCGATTCCATTCGATGATGATTCCATTAGTTTCCATTCGATGATTCCATTCAATTCCATTAATTGATGATTATTCTATTCGATTCCATTCGATGATGATTCCATTTGATTCCATTCGATGATTCCTTTCGATTCCATTTGATGATTCACTTCGATTCCTTTTGATGATGATTCCATTCGATTCCATTCGGTGATTCCAATCGATTCTATTCGATGATCATTCCATTCGACTCCATTCAATGATGATTCCATTCGAGTCCATTCGAAGATTCCATTTGATTCCATTTGATGATGATTCCATTCGATACCATTCTGTGATCCCACTCTATTCCATTCAATGATGATTCCATTCGATTCCATTTGATAATTCCATTCGATTCCATATGATGATTATTCCATTCGTTTCCGTTTGATGATTCCATTCGATTTCATTCAATGATGTTTCCATTAGAGTCCATTCAATGATTCCATTCCATTCCATTCGATGATTATTCCATTAGAGTTCATTCGAAGATTCCTTTCAATTCAATTTGGTGATGATTCCATTCGAGTCCAATTGATGATTCCTTTCAATTCTGTTCGATGATACCATTCGATTCCATTTGATTATTCCCATTGATTCCATTCGATGTTCATTCTATTCTATTCCAGTCGATCGTTCCATTCAGTTCCATTCGATGATGATTCCATTCGATGACGATTCATTTGTTTCCATTTGATGATGACTCCATTCGATTCAATTCGGTGGTGACTCCATTAGGTTCCATTTGATGATGATTCCATTCTGTCCCATTCGATGATGATTCCATTAGATTCTGTTCGATGATTCCATTTGATTACATTCGTTGATGGTTCCATTCAATTCCATTCGATGATGATTCCATTCAATTCCATTCGATGATGATTCAATTCGATTTCATTCAATAATTCCATTCGATTCCATTCGATGATGATTCCATTCTGTTCCATTCGATGATTCCATTCGATTCCATTCGATGATGATTCCATTCGAGTCCATTCCATTCCATTCCATTCGAGTCCATTTCATTCCACTACATTCCATTCCATTCGAGTTCATTCCATTCCGTTACATTCCATTCCATTCGAGTCCATTCAATTCTATTCCATTCCAATCGATTCCATTCCACTCCATTGCTTTTGAGTCCATTCCATTCCATTCGAGTGCATTCCTTTCCATTGCATTCGAGTCCATTCCATTCCATGCTATTCCATTTGAGTCCATTCCATTCCATTCAATTCGAACCCATTCCATTCCATTCCATTCCATTCCATTCCATTCCATTCCATTCCATTTTAGCACAATCCATTCCATTCCATTCAATTCGAGTCCATTCCATTCCAATCCATTCCATTCAGGTCCAATCCATTCAATCCCACTCGAGTCAATTCCATTCCATTCCATTCGAGTCCATTCCATTGCATTCCATTCCATTCGAGTCCATTCCATTCCATTCGAGTCTATTCCATTCCATTCGAGTCCATTCCACTCGAGTCCATTCCATACCATTACATTCCCTCCGACTCAAATCCATTCCATTCCATTCCATTCCATTCGAATCCACTCCTCTCCATTCCATTCGAGTGCATTCCGTTCCATTCCTTTCCACTCGAGACCTTTCCATTCTATTCGAGTCCATTCCATTCTGGTGAATTCCTTTCCATTCCATTCTATAACAGTCCATTCCATTCCATTCCATTCATGTCCATTCCATTCCATAACATTCGAGTCCATTCCATTCAATTCAACTCCATTCGTGTCCATTCCATTCCATTCCACTTGAGTCCATTCCATTCCATTCCATTCGAGATCATTCCATTCCATTCCAATCTATTCGAGTCCATTCCATTACATTCGAGTCCATTCCATTCCATTTCATTTGAGTCCCTTCCATTCAATTCCATTCATTTCCACTTGAGTCCATTGCATTCCATTCCATTCCATTTGAGTCCATTCCATTCCATTCCATTCCATTCCTCTCCATTCCATTACATTTCATTTCATTCCATTCCGTTCTATTCCTTTTGGCTCCATTCCATTCCATTCCATTCAAGTCCACTCCAATCCATTCGATTCGAGTCTATTCCATTACATTGCATGCCATTCGAGTTCATTCCACTGCATTCCCTTTCATTCGAATCTATTCCATTCCATTCCACTCCAATCTATTCCATTCCATTTGAGTCCATTCCAGTTCGTTCGAGTCCATTCCATTCCATTTCATTCAAGTCCACTTCATTCCACTAAGTTCCGTTCGATTCCATTCCATTCCATTCCATTCCATTCCATTCCATTCCATTCCTTTCCATTCTTTTCGGGTCCATTCAATTCAAATGCATTCCATTTGATTGCATACCATTCCATTCCATTCCATTCCGTTCCAATCCCTTCCATTCCGTTCAAGTCCATTCCATTCCATTCCATTCCATCGAGTCCATTTCATTCCATTACATTCCATTTCGTTCGAGTTCATTCCATTCTGTTACATTCCATTCCATTCGAGTCAATTCAATTCCGTTCCATTCCATTCGAGTCCATTCCACTCCATTCCGTTCGAGTCCATTCCATTCCATTCGAGTCCATTCCATTCCATTGCATTCGAGTCCATTCCATTCCAATGTATTCCATTTGAGTCCATTCCATTCCATTCCATTTGAATCCATTCCATTCCATTCCATTCCGAGCCCAAACCATTCCATTCCATTCAATTCGAGTCCATTCCATTCCAATCCATTCCACTCGGGTTCACTCCATTCAATTGCATTAGAGTCAATTCCATTCCATTCCATTCGAGTCCATTCCATTCCATTCCATTCAATTCGAGTCCATTCCATTCCATTCCATTCGAGTCCATTCCATTCCATTCCTTTCGAGTCCATTCAATTCCATTGGATTCCATTCCATTCCTTTCCATTCGATTCCATTCCATTGCATTCCATTCCATCCGCGTCTATTCCATTCTATTACATTGGAGTCCATTCCATTCCATTCCATTAGAGTCCATTACATTAAATTCTATTGTATTCCTTTCGAGTCCATTCCATTCCATTCCATTCTATTCCATTCAAGTCCATTCCATTCCATTGCATTCCATACCATTCCAATCCTTTCCATTCCATTCCATTCCATTGCATTCCATTGCATTCGTGTCCTTTCCAATCCATTCAATTCGTTTCCATTCCATTCCATCCTATTCCATTCATGTGCTTTCCTTTCCATAGCTTACCATTCCATTTCATTCCTTTCCATTCCATTCCATTCGTTTCCATTCCAATCGATCCCATTCCATTCGTGTCAGTTCCATTCCATTCCATTGGACTTCATTAAATTCCATTCCGCTCCATTCGGGTCCATTCCATTCCACTGCATTCCATTCGCCTCCATTTCTTTCCATTCTATTCCATTCCATTCTGGTTCATTCCAATTCATTCCATTCCATTCGAGTCCATTCCTTTCCATTCCTTTCCATTTCATTCAGGTTCATTCCATTCCATTCTATTCGAGACCATTCCATTCCATTCCTTTCCATTTCATTCAGGTTCATTCCATTCCATTCTATTCGAGACCATTCCATTCCATTCCATTCCATTGGATTCCATTCCATTCCATTCCATTCGATTCCATTCCATTCCATTCCATTCGATTCCATTCCATTCCATTCCATTCCATTCGATTCCATTCCATTCCATTCCATTCAATTCGATTCCATTCCATTCCATTCCATTCCATTCGATTCCATTCCATTCCATTCCATTCAATTCGGGTCCATTCCATAGCACTCCATTCCATTCGAATCCATTCCATTCTATTCCATTCGATTCCATTACATTCCATTCTTTTCGAGTACATTCCATTCCATTCTATTCTATTCCATTCGATTCCATTCCATTGAATTCCATTCCATTCGTGTCCATTCCGTTCCATTCGAGTCCATTCCATTCCGTTCTATTTGATTTAAGTTCTTTCCATTCTGTTCCATTTGAGTCCATTCCATTCCACTCTATTACATTCCATTCCATTAGAGTTCATTCAGATCCATTCCATTCCATTCGAGTCCATTCCATTCCAATCCATTCCTTTCGGTTCCATTCCTTTCAATTCCATTCAAATCAATTCCATTCCATTCCATTCGAGTCCTTTCCATTGCATTCCATTCCATTCCTTTTGAGACGGTTCAATTCCATTCCATTCCATTCTAGTCCATTCCATTGCATACCATTCCATTGGCATCCATTCCATTCTATTCCATTCGAGTCCATTCCATTACATTCCATTAGAGTCCATCACATTCCATTAAATTACATTGTATTCCATTCAAGTCCATTCCATTCCATTCTATTCAATTCGTCTCCATTCCATTCCATTCGAATCCATTCCATTCCATTCCATTCATCTTCATTCCATTCCATTCGAATCCATTCCATTCCTTTCGAGTCCATTCCATTCCATTCCATTCCATTCTATTCCATTCAAGTCCATTCCATTCCACATCATTCCATTCCATTCCATTCCATTCCATTCCAGTCGAGTCCATTCCATTCCATTCCATTCGAGTCCATTCCATTCCATTCCATTCCACTCCAGTCCATTATATTCAATTCCATTTGACTCCTTTCCATTCCATTCCATTCCATTCCTTTAAGGTCCATTGCATTCCATTCCATTCGAGTTCATTTCATTCCATTCCATTCCATTCGTGTCCATTCCATTCCATTCCATTCCATTCCATTCCATTCCATTCCAGACACTTCGTTTCAATTCCATTCCATTCCTTTCGAATCCATTCCATTCCATCCGAGTCCATTCCATTCCATTCCATTCGATACCATTCCATTCCATTCCAGACACTTCGTTTCAATTCCATTCCATTCCTTTCGAATCCATTCCATTCCATCCGAGTCCATTCCATTCCATTCCATTCGATACCATACCATTCCATTTGAGTCCATTCCGTTCCATTCTATTCCATTCCATTGTATTCCATTCCAATCCATTCCATTCCCTTCCATTTGAGTCCATTGCAATTCATTCCATTCGAATCCATTCCATTTCCACCCATTTCATTCGAGTCCATTCCATTCGATTCCATTCGAATTCATTCCATCCAATTCCATTCCATTCGTGCACATGCCACTCTATTCCATTCCATTCCATTTGAGTCCATTCCATTCATTCCATTCCATTTGGGTCTATTCCATTCAATTTCGTTTGAGTCAATTCCATTCCATTGCATTCGAGTCCATTCCATTGCAGTCCATTGCATTCGAGTCCTTTCCATTCCATTCCATTTGAGTCCATTCCATTGCATTCCATTCCATTCGAATGCCTTCCATTCTGTTCCATTTGATTCCATTCCATTGTATTCCATTACATGCTTTTTGAGTCCATTCCATTCCATTCCATTCCATTCCAGTGCATTCCACTCTATTCCATTCGAGTCCATTCCATTCCATTCCATTAGAGTCAATTCCATTGAATTCCATTGTATTCCATTCGAGTCCTTTCCGTTACATTCCATTCCTGTTTGTGTCCATTCCATTCCATTCGAGTCCATTCCTTTCAATTCCTTTCGAGTCCATTCCATTCCATTCCATTCTATTCCATTCAAATCCATTCCATTCCACATCATTCCATTCCATTCCATTCCATTCCATTCCGTTCCATTCCATTCCATTCGGGTTGCTTCCATTCCATTCAATTCGAGTCCATTCCATTCCAATCCATTCCATTCCATTTCATTCTAGTCCATTCCATTCCATTCCATTCAAGTCCATTCCATTCTATTCCATTCCATTCCATTCCATTCCAGTCCATTCCATTCCATTCCAGTCCACTCTAGTTGTTTCCATTCCATTCCATTCCTTTCGAGTCCATTCCATTCCGTTCAAGTCCATGCCACTCCATTCCATTCATGTCCATTCCATTCCATTCAATTCCTTTCCTGTCCACTCTAGTTGTTTCCATTCCATTACATTCCTTTTGAGTCCATTCCATTCCATTCAAGTCCATGCCATTCCATTCCATTCGTGTCCATTCCATTCCATTCAATTCCATTCCTCTCGAGTCCATTCCATTCCATTCCATTCCATTCGAGTCCATTCCATTCCATTCTATTCCATTAAATTCCATTCCATTCCATTCCATTCAATTCCATTCCATTCCATGCAAATCCATTCGACTCCATTTCATTCCGTTCCATTCTAGTCCATTCCATAACATTACATTCTGTTCGATTGAAGTCCATTCCATTCCATTCCATTCCCTTTGTGTCCATTCCATTCCATTCGAGTCCATTCCATTCCATTCCATTCGAGTCCATTCCATTCCATTCCATTCGAGTCCATTCCATTCCCTTCCATTCCATTTTATTCGAGTCCATTCATTTTTATTCCATTCGAGTCTATTCCTTTGCATTCCATTCGAGTCCATTCCATTCCTTTCCATTCCAGTCCATTCAATTCCTTTCCATTCAAGTCCTTTCCATTTCACTCCATTCCAATCAATTCGAGTGCATTCCACTCCATTTCATTCCCCTCTAATCCATTCAATTCCATTCCATTCCATTCAGGTCCATTCTATTCTATTCTCTTCGGGTCAGTTCCATTCCATTCCATTCAAGCCCTTTCCATTGCATTCCATACCATTCCTTTTGAGATCATTCAAATGCATTCCATTCCATTCGATTCTATTCCATTCCATGCCATATAATTCAAGTCCATTCGTTTCCATTACATTCCATTCGGGTGCATTCCATTCTATTCCCTTCCAGTCAGTTCCATTATATTCCATTCGAGTCCATTGCATTGTATTCCATTCCACTCCTTTCGAGACAATTCAATTCCTTTCCATTCCATTTGAATCCATGACATTCCACTCCTTTCGAGTCTATTCCATTGCATTCCATTCTATTAGAGTCCATTCCATTCTATTCAGTTAGAGTCCATTCCATTCCATTAGATTCCATTCCATTAGTGTCCGTTCAATTAAATTCCATTCCATTCCATTCGAGTCCTTTCCATTCCATTTGAGTCCATTCCATTCCATTCCCTTCGAGTCCATTCCATTCCATTCCATTCTCTCCCATTCCATTCCATTCCATTCCATTCAATTCCATTCCATTCCAGTACATTCCATTCCATTACATTCCAGTACATTCCATTCTATTCCATTCCAGTACATTCCAATCTGGTCCATTCCTTTCAATTCTATTCGAGTCCATTCCATTCCATTCCATTCGAGTCCCTTCCATTCCATACCACTGGAGTCCATTCCATTCCACAACATTCCTTTCCATTCCATTCCATTCTATTTCATTCGAGTCCATTCCATTCCCTTTGTGTCCTTTCCATTCCATTCCATACTATTCCATTCAAGTCCATTCCACTCCATTTCATTCCATTCCAATCCATTCCATTCCATTCCATTCCTTTCCATTCCATTCCATTCCATTTGGGTGAATTCCTTTCCATTCCATTCAAGTCCATTCCATTGCATTCATGTCCATTTCATTCGAGACCATTCCATGTCACTCCATTCTATTCCATTCGAGTCCATTCCATTCCACTCCATTCCATTCTAGTACATTACATTCTATTCCGTTCTATTTCATTTGAGTCCATTCTGTTCTGTTCCATTCCATTCGAGTCCATTACATTCCATTGGCATCCATTCCATTTCATTCCATTCCAGTCCATTCCATTCAATTCGATACCATTTGATTCTATTCCATTCCATTCCATTCATGGCCATTCCATTCCAACCCATTTCATTTGAGTACATTCCATTCCCTTCCGTTCGAATCCCTTCTATTCCATTCCATTCCATTTGAGTCCATTCCACTCCATTCATTTCCATTCAAGTCTATTCCATTCCATTCCATTCCATTACTTTCCATTCGATTCGAGTAAATTCCATTACATTTTGTTCCTGTCGTTTCCATTCCTTTCGAGTCCATTCCATTCCATTCCATTCGAGTCCATTCCATTCCATTCCTTTCCATTCCATCCCATTCCAGTCCATTAAATTCGAGTCCAAATCATTCCATTCCATTCCAGTCAAGTCCATTCTATTCCATTGCATTTGAGTCCATTCCACTCCATTCCATTCGAGTCCATTCCATTCCACACAATTCTATTCCATTCCAATCCATTCCATGCGACTCCATTCCATTCTATTCCATTAGAGTCCATTCCATTCCATTATAGTCCATTCCATTAAATTCCAATATATTCCATTTGCGTCCGGTCCACTCCATTCCATTCAATTCGTTGCCTTTCCATTCCTTTGGAGTTCATTTCTTTCCATTCCTTTTGAAATCATTCCATTCCTTCCCATTCTATTCCATTCAAGTCCTTTCCAATCCATACCATCCCATTCCATTCCATTCCATTCCATTGCATTCCATTCCACTCCTTTCCACTCGGGTACATTCCTTTTCATTCCATTCGAGTGCATTCCATTCCATTGCACTCCATTCTGGTCCATTCAGTTCCATTCCCTTCCATTCCATTCGCGTCCATTCTGTTCCATTCCATTCCATTCCATTCGGTTCCATTCCATTCCATTCCAATGGAGTCAATTCCATTCCATTTGATTCCATTCCATTCCATTCCATTCCACTCGAGTCATTTCCATTCCATTCCACTCCATTCGTGTCCATTCCATTCCATTCGTGTCCATTCCATTCCATTCCATATGAGTCCATCCAATTCCATTCCATTCCATTCCATTCCATTCCATTCCATTCCATTCCGTTCCATTCCATTCCATTCCATTCTATTCCACTCCATTCCATTCTATTCCACTCCATTCCATTCCATGAGGGTTCATTCCATTCCATTCCATTCCATTGGAGTCCATTTCATTCCATTCCATTCCATTCCATGCCATTCCATTCCATACCATTACATTCCATTCGATTTGAGTCCATGAATTTTTTTTCCATTCCATTCAACTCCATTCCACTCCATTGCTTTCGAGTCCATACCATTCCATTCCTTTCCATTCGAGTCCTTTCCACTCCATTCGAGTACATTCCATTCCATTTGATTCGAGTCCATTCCATTCCATTCGGGTCTATTCTATTCCATTCGATTCCATTCGAGTCAATTCCATTCCATTTCTTTCGATTCCATTCCATTGTATTCCATCCCTTTCGAGTCTATTCCATTCCAATCCTTTTGTGTCCATTCCATTCCATTCCTTTCGTATCCATTCCATTCCATTCGAGTGCAATCTATTCCATTCCGTTCGATGCAATTCCACTCATTCCATTTCATTCAAGTCTATTCCATTCCATTCCATTGCATTCCATTCGAGTCCATTCCATTCCACTCGAGTCCATTGATTCCATTCTATTCCACTCGAGTCCACTCCATTCCATTCAAGTCCATTCCCTTCCATTTCATTCGAGTCCATTCCATTCAATTCCATACTATTCGATTCAAGTCCATTCCATTCCATTCCATTCTATTCCATTCATGTCCATTCCATTCCATTCGAGTCCATCCCATTCCATTTTATTTGATTCTATTGCATTCCATTCCATTCCATTCCATTAGAGTCCATTCCATTGTATTCCAATCCAGTAAATTCTGTTCTAATCCATTCGAGCCCATTCCATTTCATTTCATTCCATTCGAGTGCATTCCATTCAATTTGAGTCCATTCCATTCCATTCCATTCCATTCCAATCAATTCCATTCCATTCCATTCCATTCCATTCCATTCCAATCAATTCCATTCCATTCCATTCCATTCCATTCCATTCCATTCCATTCCATTCCATTCCTCTCCATTCCATTCCATTTTATTCCATTCCATTCCTTTCTATTCCATTCCATTCCTTTTGTGTCCATTCCATTTGATTAGAGTTCATTCCATTCGATTCGATGCCATTACAAACCATTCCATTCGAGTCCATTCCATTCCATTCCATTCGAGTCCATTCATTTCCATTCCATTCCATTCCATTCCATTCGAGTCCATTCCATTCCATTGCTTTCCTTTCGAGTCTATTTCATTTCATTACATTCCACTTGGGTCCATTCCATTGCATTCCCTCGAGTCCATTCCATTCCTTTCCATTCTATTTCAATCCATTCCATTCCATTCTATTGTATTCCATTCCATTCCATTCCATTCCATTCCATTCCATTCCATTCCATGCTATTCCATTCCATTCCGTTCCATTTCATTCCATTTCTGTCCTTTCCCTTCCATTCCATTCTACTGGAGTCCATTCCACTCAATTCCATTCTAGTCCATTCCATTTCACTCCATTCAATTTGACTCCCTTTCATACTTTTCCATTCGAGTCCATTCCATTGCATTCCATTTGAGTCCATTCCATTCCCTTCTATTCTTTTCTATTTGTGAGCATTCAATTCCACTCCTTTAGAGTCCATTCCATTAAATTCCAATCTATTCCATTCGTGTCCTTTCCATTCCATTCCATTCCATTCGTGGCCTTTCCATTCCATTGGACTCCATTCCATTTCATTCCTTTTGAATTCTTTCCATTCCATCCAATTCTGTTCCATTGAAGTCCATTCCAATACATACCATTCCATTCCACTGCATTCCATTCCATTCCATTCCGTTCCGTTCCGTTCCATTCCATTCCATTCCATTCCATTCCGTTCCATTCTGTTCCATTCCATTCCATTCCATTCCATTCCATTCCATTCCATTCCGTTCCATTCCATTCCATTCCATTCCTTTTGGGTCCATTCCATTTCATTAGAGTCCATTCCATTCCATTTGATGCCATTACAAACCATTCCATTCGAGTCCATTCCATTCCATTCCCTTCGATTCCTTTCAATTCCATTCCATTCAATTCGAGTCCATGCCATTCCATTCCATTCGTTTCCTTTCGAGTCTATTCCATTTCATTACATTCAACTTGCGTCCACTCCATTGCATTCCATTCGTGTCCTTTCCATTCCATTCCATTCGATTTCAATCCATTCCATTCCATTCTATTCCATTCCATTCCATTCTATTCCATTCCATTCCATTCCATTCCATTCCATTCCATTCCATTCCATTCCATTCTATTCCATTCCATTCCACTACATTTCATTCCTTTCCTGTCCTTTCCCTTCCATTCCATTCTATTCGAGTCCATTCCACTCAATTCCATTCTAGTCCATTCCATTCCACTCCATTCAATTTGACTCCATTCCATTCTTTTCCATTCGAGTCCATTCCATTGTATTCCATTCGAGTCCATTCCATTCCATTCCATTCTTTTCCATTTGAGAGCATTCCATTCCATTCCTTTAGAGTCCATTCCATTCCATTCCATTTTTTCCATTTGAGAGCATTCCATTCCATTCCTTTAGAGTCCATTCCATTAAATTCCCATCAATTCCATTTGAGTCCATTCTATTCCATTCCATTCAATTTGTGGTCTTTCCATTCCATTGGACTACATTCCATTCCATTCCTTTTGAATTCTTTCCATTCCATCCCATTCTATTTCATTGAATCCATTCCAATCCATACCATTCCATTGCATTGCATTGCATTGCATTGCATTCCATTCTATTCCATTCCATTCCGTTCCATTCCATTCCATTCCATTCCATTCCACTCGATTCCATTCGGGTCCATTCCCTTCCATTCCATTCGAGTGCATTCCATTCCATTTGACTCCATTCCTGTCCACTCCATTCGAGTCCATTCCATAACATTACATTCCATTCGACTCCATTCCTGTCCACTCCATTCGAGTCCATTCCATAACATTACATTCCATTCGATTTGAGTCCATTAAATTCCTTTTCCTTCAATTTGAGTCCATTCCCTTCCTATGCGTTCGAGTCCATTCCATTCCATTCCGTTCTAATCGAATCCATTCCTCTCTATTCCATTTGAGTCAATTCCATTCCATTCCATTCTTGTGCATTCCATTCCATTCCATTCCATTCCATTCCATTCCATTCCACTCGAGTAGTTTCCATCCCATTTACTTCCGTTCAAGTCCATTCTATTCCGTTGGAGTTCATTGCATTCAATTCCATTCAAGTCAATTCCATTCTATTCCATTCGAGTACATTCCATTCTATTCCTTTCCATTCTAGTTCATTCCATTCCATTCGAATCCACTCCATTCTATTCCATTCAATTCCAATCCATTCCATTCCATTCTGTTCCATTCCTTTCCATTCCATTCCATTCCAATCCATTCCATTCCATTACTCTATGTTTCATTTCATTGCATACCACTCCAATCCAAACCATTCGAGTCCATTCCATTCCATTCCATTCCATTCCATTCCATTCCATTCCATTCGAGATCCATCCAATCCATTCCATTCCATTCCATTCCATTCCATTCCATTCCATTGGAATCTATTCCATTCCATTGCACACCCTTTGAGTCCACTCCACTAAATTCCATTCCATTCGAGTCCATTCCATTCCTTTCCATACCATTCCAATCAATTCGATTCCATTCCATTACATTACATTTGGGTACATTCCGTTTCATTCGAGTCCATTCCTTTCCATTCCATTCCATTCGAGTCCCTTTCATTCCATTCCACTCCATTCCATTCCATTCCATTCCAATCCATTCATTTCGGGTCCATTCAATTCAACTACATTCCATTCGTGTCTATTCCATTCCATTCCATTCCATTGCATTCCATTCCATTCCATTCCATTCCTTTCCATTCCTTTCAAGTCCATTCCATTCCATTCCTTTCGAGTCCTTTCCATTCCATTCCATTCGAGTCCATTTCATTCCATTCCATTCCATTCCATTCGAGTTCATTCCATTCCGTTACATTCCATTCCATTCCATTCGAGTCCACTCAATTCCATTCCATTCCATTAGAGTCCATTCCACTGCATTCTGTTTGAGTCCATTCCTTTCAATTCGAGTATATTCCAATTCATTGCATTCGATTCCATTCCATTCCATGCTACTCCATTCCATTCCATTCCATTCCATTCCATTCGGGTCCATTCCATTCCATTCGAGTCTATTCCATTCCATTCCACTCCATTTGGTTCCATTCCATTCCATTCCTTTCCGTAATATTCCATTCCATTTGTGTGCATTCCATACCATTCCATTCGCATCCTTTCCATTCCATTCCATTCCATTCCATTTGAGTCCATTGCATTCCATTCGAGTCCATTCCATTCCATTCCATTCGAGTCTATTGCATTCCATTCCATCAATTCCATTCCTTTCGGATCCATTCAATTCAACTGCATTCCGTTTGTGTCCATTCCATTCCATTCCATTCCATTCCATTCCATTCCATTCCATTCTTGTCCACTCCATTCCATTCCAATCAATTCGAGCACATTTCTCTCCATTCCATTCCATTCCATTCGAGTTCATACCATTCCGTTACATTCCATTCCATTCGAGTTCATACCATTATGTTACATTCCATTCCATTCGAGTATATTAAATGCCATTGCATTCAATACGAGTCCTTTCACCTCCATTCCGTTTGAGTCCATTCCATTCCATTCGAGGCCATTCCATTCCATTGCATTCGAGTCCATTCCATTTCATGCTATTCCATTTCAGTCCATTCCATTCCATTCCATTCCATTCCATTCGAGTCCTTTCCATTCAAATCCATTCCATTCCATTCCATTCCATTCTATTCCTTTCCATACTTTTCCATTTCATTCCGTTCCATTTGAGCCCATTCCATTCCATTGCATACCATTCGAGTCCATTCCATTCCATTCCATTCCATTCCATTCCATTCCATTCCATTCCTTTCGGATCCATTCCATTCAATTCCATTTTAAACAATTCCATTCCATTCAATTCGACTCCATTGTATTGCATTCCATTCCATTACAGTACATTCCATTCCATTCCATTCGAGTCCATTCCATTGTATTCCATCCCACTCCTTTTGAATCCATTCAATTCCATTCCATTCCATTCAAGTCCATTCCATTTCATTCAATTTGATTCCATTCCATTGCATTCCATTCCATTCGAGTGTATTCCATTCTCTTCCATTCAAGTCCATTCCATTCCATTCCGTTAGAGTCCATTCCATTAAATCCCAGTGTATTCCATTCGAGTACATTCCATTCCATTCTGTTCCATTCATGTCCATTCCATGCCATTCGAGTCCATTTCATTCCATTCCCGTCGAGTCCATTCCATTCCATTCCATTCCATTCTGTTTCATTCAAGTACATTCCTTTCCATACCATTCCATTCCATTCCATTCCATTCCATTCCATTCGAGTCCATTCCATTCCATTCCACTCCATTCTGGTCCATTCCATTCCATTCTATTCCATTCGAGTCCATTACTTTCCATTGCATTCAATTCCATTCGTGTCCATTCCATTCCATTCCATTGCATTCCATTCCTTTCGAGTCCATTATATTCCACTCCGTTCCATTCCATTCCATTCCATTCGAATCCACTCCATTGCACTCCAGTCATTTCCTTTCCATTACATACCATTCGAATCCATTCCATTGCATTCCATTCCATTCCATTCCATTCCATTCCATTCGTGTCCATTCCATTCCATTCCATTTGAGTCCAATCCATTGCATTCTATTACATTCTAGTCTATTCCATTCCATTCCATGACAGTCCATTCCATTAGAGTCTAATCCAATAAATTCCATTCTATTCCAATCGAGTGCATTCCATTCCATTCCATTTCATTCGAGTCCATTCCATACCATTCTTTTCGAGTCCATTGCATTCCATTCGAGTCCATTCCATTTCATTCCATTCCATTTCATTCCATTTGTGTCCATTCCATTCCATTCCATTCCACTCGGGTCCATTCCATTCCGTGCCATTCTTGTCCCTTCCTTTTGATTTGAGTCCCTTCCATTCCATTGCATTCCATTCGAGTCCATTCCATTGCATTCCATTTCTTTCGAGTCCATTGTATTCCACTCCATTCCATTCTAGTCGATTCCAATCCACTCCATTCCATTCAAGTCCAATCCATTCCATTCGAGTCCATTCCATTCTATTCCATTCCAATCCATTCCATTCCATTCCATTCCTTTTGACTCAATTCAATTCATCTGCTTTCCATGCAAGTCCATTTCATTCCATTCCATTCCAGTCCATTCAATTCCATTCCATTCTCTTCCATTTGAGTCCATTCCATTCAATTCCATTCCATTCAAGTCCATTTCATTCAAGTCCATTCCATTCCATTTCAGTCCTTTCTATTCCATTCCACTGGAGTCCATTCCATTCCATTCCATTCGAGTCCATTCCACTCCATTCCATTCCAATCCATTCGAGTCCATTCCATTCCAATCCATTCCTTTCGGATCCATTCCATTCAATTCCATTTGATTAAATTCCATTTCATTCCATTCGAGTCCATTCAATTGCATTCCATTCCATTTCTTTTGAGACAATTCAGTACCATTCCATTCAATTTCAGTCCATTCCACTTCATTCCATTCCAGTCCATTCCATTGCATTCCATTCCAATCGAGTCCATTCCATTATATTCCATTCGATACGATTGTTTGCATTCCATTAGATTCTATTCGATTAGACTCCATTCAATTAAATTCCACTCCATTCCATTCGAGTCCATTCAATTCCATTGGAGTCCATTCCATTCCATTGCCTTCAAGTCCATTCAATTCCATCATGTTCTATTCATTCCATTCCATTCCATTCGGGTACATTCCATTCCAATGAAGTATATTCCACTCCATTCCATTCCAATCAATCCATTGAATTCCATTCCATTCCATTCAAGTCCATTCCATTGCATTCCATTCTAGTCCATCACATTCCATTCCATTAGAGTCCATTCCATTAAATCCCATTCTATTCCATTTGAGGCCATTCCATTCCTTTTCATTCCATTTGAGTCCATTCCATTGCATTCCATTCGAGTCCATAGCATTCCATTCCATTAGAGTCCATTCCATTAAATCCCATTCTATTCCATTCGAGTCCATTCCATTCCATTCCTTTCCATTCCACTCGAGTCATTTCCATTCCATTCCATTCCATTCCATTCTATTCCATTCGAGTCCATTCTATTCCATTCCATGAGAGTCCATTCCATTAGAATCCAATCCAATAAATTCCATTCTATTCCGTTCTAGTCAATTCCATTCCATTCCATTTCATTCAAGTCCATTCTATTCCATTACTTTCGAGTCCATTCCATTCCATTCCATTCCAATCGAGTCCATTCCATTTCATTCCATTCCATTCCATTCCATTCCATTCCATTCCATTCCATTCCATTCCATTCCATTCCATTCCATTCTTGTCCATTCCATTCCATTCCATTCCATTCCATTCCATTCCATTCCATACCATTCAGGTCCATTCCATTCCATGCTTTTGTCCCTTCCATTCGGTTCGAGTCCCTTCCATTCCATTGTGTTCCATTCGAGTCCATTCCATTACATTCCATTTCATTCGAGTCCATTCCATTCCAGTCAATTCCACTTGAGTCGCTTCCAATCCACTCCATTCCATTCGAGTCCATTCCATTCCATTCAAGTCCATTCCATTCAATTCCATTCAAATGCATTCCATTCCATTAAATTTGATTCAAGTCCATTCCATTTCATTCGAGTCCATTCTGTTCCATTCCACTCCATTTGAGTCCATTCCATTCCATTCCATTTCGTTCCATTCCATTCCATTCCATTCCTTTCGGGTCCATTAAATTCAACTGCATTCCATTCCATTCCATTCCATTCCATTCCATTCCATTCGGGTCCATTTCATTCCATTCCATTCGTGCGCATTCCATTCCATTTGAGTCCATTCCATTCCATTAATTTTGATTCCATTCCATTCCATTCCATTCTATTCCATTAGAGTCTGTTCCATTCTATTCCATTAGAGTCCATTCCATTCCATACCATTCCATTCCATTCCATTCCATCCCATTCCATGCCTTGCCATTCCTTTAGATTCCATTCCATTCGGGTCCATTCAATTCCATTCCATTCGGGTCCATTCCATTCCATTCCTCTATGTTCAGGTCCATTCCATTCCTTTCCATTCCATTCGAGTCCGTTTCTTTCCATTCCATTCCATTCCATTAGGGTTTTTTTCCATTCCATTCCATTCGGGTTTTTTCCATTCCATGCCATTCGAGTCCATTCCATTCAAATCCATTCCATTCCTTTCGAGTCCATTCCATTCCATTCTATTCCATTCCATTGCATTCCATTCCATTCAAGTCCCTCCCATTCCTTTACATTGCATTGAATTTGGGTCCATTCCATCCACTCGAGTCCATTCCATTCCATTCAATTCCACTTGAGTGATTTTCATTCCCTTTCATTCCACTCGAGTCCAGTCCATCCCATTCGAGTACATTCCTTTCCATTCCATCCCGTTCGAGACAATTTCATTCCATTCAATTCCAATCCATTCCATTCCTTTCGAGTCCATTCCATTCCATTCTATTCCATTGCATTGCATTCCATTCCATTCTAGAGTCCATTCCATTCCATTTCTTTCGAGTCCATTCCATTCTATTCGAGTACATTCCATTCCATTCTATTCCATTTTATGGCATTTCATTTCATTCTAGAGTCCATTTCATTTAATTCCATTCGAGTCCTTTTCATTCCTTTAAATTGCATTCCATTCAAGTCCATTCCATACCATGACATTCTTTTCTATTTGAGTCTATTCAATTCCATTCCATTCCATGACACTCTTTTCTATTTGAGTCTATTCAATTCCATTCCATTCCATGACATTCTTTTCTATTTGAGTCTATTCCATTCCATTCCATTCCATTCGATTCAATTCCACTCAATTCCATTCGAGTCCATTCCATTACATTCCATTCCATTGGAGTCCATTCCTTTCTATTCCATTAGTGTCAATTCCTTTCCATTCCACTCAAGTCTATTCCATTCCATTCCATTTCATTCCACTCAATTCCATTCGAGTCCATTACATTCCTTTCCATTCGAGTCCATTCCATTCCTTTCCATTCGAGTCCATTCCATTCCATTCCACTCGAGTTGATTTCATAACATTCCATTCCATTCGAGTTCTTTCCCTTCCATTCGAGTCCATTCCATTACATTCCATTAGTGTCCATTCCATTAAATTCCATTCCATTCCATTCGAGTCCATTACATTACATTCCATTCGGTTTGAGTCCATTATATTCCATTCCATTCGAGTCCATTCCATTCCATTCCATTCCATTTGAGTCCATTCCATTCCATTCCATTCGAGTCCATTCCATTCCATTCCATTGGAGTCCATTCCTTTCCATTCCATTCGAGTCCATTCCATTCCTTCCATTCCATTCGAATCCATTCAACTGTATTCCACCTGAGTCCATTCCATTCGACTCCATTTCTTTCATGTACATTCCATTATATTCGACTCCGTTCCATTCTTTTCCACTCAAGTGAATTTAAATCCATTCCATTGCCTTCGAGTCCATTCCATTCCATTCAATTCGAGTCAATTCCATTCCATTCCATTCCATTCGAGTCCATTCCTTTCCATTCCATTCCACTCGCGTCCTTTTCACTCCATTCGATTCGAATCCCTTCCATTCCATTCGTGTCCATTCCATTCCATTTCATTTGAGTCCAGTCCATTCCATTCCATTCTATTCCATTCAAGTCCATTCCATTCCATTCCATTCCATTCATTCCATTCCATTCCAGTCCAGTCCATTTAATTCCATTCCATTCCATGCCATTCGTGTCCATTCCATTCCATTATATTTGAGTCCATTTCATTCCATTCTATTAGAGTCCTTTGTGTTAGTGTCCAATCCGGTAAACTATATTCTATTGCATTCAACTCCATTCCATTCCACTCTATTCCATTTGAGTCCATTCCACTCCATTCGAGTCCATTCCATTCAATTCCATTCGATTCCAGTCCATTCTGTTCCATTCTATTCCATTCAACTCACTTCCATTCCATTCGATTTGCATTCCAGTCCATTCCATTTCATTCCATTCCATTCCGGTCCATTCCTCTCCATTCCATTCCATTCAAGTCCATTCCATTCGATTCGAGTCCATTCCTTTCCACTCCATTCCAATCAATTCTATTCGAGTCCATTCCATTCCATTCCATTCGAGTCCATTGCATTCCATTCCATTCCATTCCGTTCGAATTCATTCCATTCAATTCCATTCCATTTGGGTCCATTCGATTCCATTTCATTCGAGCACATTCCATTTCATTCCATTCTATTCCATTCAAGTCCATTCCGTTCCATAACATTCCATTGCATTCCATTCCATTCCATTCCATTCAGTTCCATTCCATTCCATTCCATTCAGTTCCATTCCATT
This sequence comes from Homo sapiens, assembly GCF_000001405.40. NCBI lineage: Eukaryota > Metazoa > Chordata > Mammalia > Primates > Hominidae > Homo > Homo sapiens. Next base: position 41,633 of record NT_187392.1, read on the forward strand.
CCATTCCAATCCATTCGTTCCATTCCACTCAATTGAGGTGCATTCCATTCCATTCCATTAGATTTAAATCCATTCCATTCCATCCCGTTACATTCGTGTCCTTTATATTCCATGTTATTCCATTCGAGTCCATTACATTCCATTGCATTCCTCTCCTTTCCATTTAAGTCTATTCCAATCCATTCCATTCCATTCGAGTTCAATCCATTCCATTCCCTTTAACTCCATTCCATTCCATTCCATTCGAGTCCATACCTTTCCATTGCATTCCATTAGAGTCCATTCTTTCCATGCCATTACATTCGAGTAAGTTCCATTCCATTCGATTCCATTACATTACATTACTTTGGGTCCATTCCATTCCATTCCTTTCAAGTCTATTCCATTGCATTCCATTGCGTTCCATTTCATTCCTGTCCACTCCATTCAATTCCATTCCACTCGAGTCAATTCCATTCCATTCCATTCCATTTCATTCGAGTCTATTAAATTACATTCGAGTCCATTCCATTCCATTCCCTTCCATTCGATTCCATTCCATTCCTTCCTAGTCCATTCCATTCCATTCCATTCCATTCCTTTCCATTCCATTCCTTTCTAGTCCATTCCATTCATCTACATTATATTCGATTCCATTTCTTTCCATTCCATTCCTTTCCATTCCATTCCTTCCTAGTCCATTCCATTCCATTCCACTCCATTCCATTCCATTCCATTCCATTCCATTCCATTCCTTTCCATTCAATCCCTTTCTAGTCCATTCCATTCAACTGCATTCTATTCGATTCCATTTCTCTCCATTCCATTCCTTTCCATTCGAGTCCATTCCATTCCATTCGTGTCCTTTCCATTCCGTTTCATTCGAGTCCAGTCCATTCCATTCCTTTCTATTCCCTTCATGTCCATTCCATTCCATTCATTCCATTCCATTAGTGTACATTCCATTCCATTCCATTTGAGTCCATTTCATTCTATTCCATTAGAGTCATTGCATTAGTGACATATCCGGTAAATTACATTCTAATGCATTTGACTCCGTTCCATTCCACTCCATTCCATTTGAGGCCATTCCACTCCATTCGAGTCCATCGCATTCAATTCCATTCTATTCCAATCCATTCCATTCCATTCAAGACCCTTCCATTCCATTCCATTGCATTCCAGTCCATTCCATTTCATTCCAATCCATTCGGGTCCATTCCTCTCCATTCCATTCCATTCAAGTCCATTCCATTCCATTCGAGTCCCGAGTGGAATCATCATCCAATGGAATCTAATGGAATCATCGAATGGACTCGAAAGGAATCATCATCAAATGGAATCGAATATAATCGTAATCAAATGGAATCGAATGGAATCATCATCTCTAGGATTCTATTGGAGCAATCATTGAATAGAATTGAATGGAATCACCGAATTGAATCAAATGGAAGAATCATGAACTGGAATCAAATGGAATCATTGAACGGGATCGAACGGAGTCATTGAATGGAATCGAGTGGAATCATCGAATGGATTCGAATGGAATCATTGAATGGACTCAAATGGAATCATCATCGAATGGAATTGAATGGAATCATCGAATGGACATGAATGCAATCATCATTGAATGGACTCGAATGGATTCATCAAATGGAGTCGAATGTAATCATCATAGAATGGAATCGAATGGAATCATCGAATAGCATCCAATGGAATTATCATCAAATGTAGTCGAATGGAATCATCGAATGGACTCGAATGGAATCATCATCAAATGGAATTGAATGGAATCATCGATTGGACAAGAATGGAATCATCATCAAATGGAATCAAGTGGAATCATCGCATGAAATTGAATTGAATCATAATTGAATGGAATCGAATGAAATCATCAATGAATGGAATCGAATGGAGTCATCGAATGGAGTCTGTTGGAATCACCATCGAATGGAACCGAAAGCAGTCATCATCGAATGGAATCAAATGGAATCATCAAATGGACTCATTGGAATCATCATTGCATGGAACCGAATGGAATCATCAAAAGGGCTTGAATGCAATCATCGAATGGACTCAAATGGATTCATCATCGAATGGAATCAAAAGGAATCATTGAATTGAATCGAATGGAATTATCATCGAGTGAATCGAATAGAATCTTCGAATGGACTCGAATGGAATCATCACTGAATGGATTCGAATGGAAACATCTAATGGCATCGCATGGAAGCATCATCGAATGGAATTGAATGGAATCATCGAATGGCCTGGAATGGAATCATCATCGATTGGAATCGAATGAAATCATTGAATGGAATCGAATGGAATGATTATCAAATGGTATCAAATGGAATCCTCGAATGTAATCAAATGGAATCATCAAATGGAATCAAACAGAATCATCATTGAATGGAACCAAATGGAATCATCAAATGGAATTGAAGGCAATCATCATCGAATGGAATCAAAGGGAATCATCGAATGGAATGGAAGGGAATCATTGTCAAGAGGAATCGAGTGGAATCATCGAATGGAATTGAATGGAATCATTGTCGAATGGCACGGAATGGAATCAATGAATGTAATTGAATGGAATCACCAGTGAATTGAATGAAATGGAATCATCGTCCAATGGAATCAAATGGAATGAACGAATGCACTCGAATGGAATCACTATCGAATGGAATCATGTGAAATTATCTAATGGGCACGAATAGAATCATCATCGAATGGAATTGAATGGTATCATCTAATGTACTCGAATGGAATCATCATTGAATGGAATAGAATGGAATCATCGAATGGAATCAAAAGGAATCTACATCGTATGGAATCGAGGGGAATCATTGAATGGACTCAAATGTAATCATCGGAGAATGGAAGCAATCGGAATCATCAAATGGACTCGAATGGAATTATCATCGAATGGAATCGAGTGGAATCATCGAATGGACTTGAATGGAATAATCATCAAATATCAAAAGCAATCATCAAATGAATTCAAATAGAATCATTGAATGGATTCGAAAGGAATCATCATCAAATGGAATCAAATGGAACCATTGAATGGACTCGAATGAAATCATCATCGAATTGAATCAAACGGAATCACCGAATGGACTCGAATGAAATCATCATCAAATGGAATCGAATGGAATCATTGAATGGAATCAAATGGAATCATCATCTAATGGAATTGAATGGGATCACTGAATGGACTCGAATGGAATCGTCATCAAATGGAATCAAATGGAATAATCTAAAGCACTCAAAAGGAATCATCACTGAATGAAATCGAATGGAATCAACGAATGGACACGAATGGAATCACCATCAAATAGAATCGAATGGAATCATCAAATGGAACAGAATGCAGTCATTATCGAATGGAATCGAATGGAATCATCGTTGAATAGAATCAAATGGAATCATCAAATGGAATTGAATGGAATCATTGAATGGAGTCAAATTGAATGATGGAATGGAATTGAATAGAATCAGCAAACAAACGAAATCGAATGGGATCATCATTGAATAGAATCGAATGGAATCATTGAATGGAATCATCATCAAATGGAGTCCAATGGAATCATCAAATGGACTCAAATGGAATGATCATAGAATGGAATTGAATGGAATCATCAAATGGAATCATCATCAAATGGAATCAAATGGTATGATCAAATGCCCTTGAATGGAATCATCGACTAATGGTATCGAATGGTATCATTGAATGGACTTGAATGGAAAAATCTTCAATTGGCATAGAAAGGAATCACCGAATGGACTCGAATGGAATAATCTTCTAAAGGGATCGAATGGAATCTTCGAATGGAATCGAATGGAATCATCAAATGGATTGGAATCGAATCATCATCGTACAGAATCGAATGGAATCATCATCGAATGGAATTAAATGGAATAATCATCGAATGGAATAAAAAAGAATAAACATCAAATGGAGTAGAATGGAATCATCAGCAAATGGAATCCAAAGGAATAATCATCGAATGGAACTGAATGGAATCATCTTCGAATGGAAGCAAAAGGAGTCATCATCAAATGGAATCGCATGGAATCTTCATCAAATGGAATCAAATGAAATCATTGTCAAATGGAATCTAATGGAATCATCGAATGGAATTGAATGGAATCATCATCAAATGAAATGAATGGAATCATCGAATGGTCTCGAATGGAATCATTATCAAATGGAATCGAAAAGAATCACCAAATAGAATCGAATGGAATAATCATCAAAGGGACTCAAACGGAATAATCATTATATGGAATTGAACGGAATTATCGGATGGAATCGAATAGCATCATTGAATGGAGTCGAATGGAATCATTGAACAGACTCGAATGGAATCATCATTGAATGGTATCGAGTGGAATCATTGAATGGACTCGAATGGAATAATCATTGAATGGAATCGAATAGAATCATCATTGGTTGGAAATGAATGGAATCATCATTGAATGGAATTGAATGGAATCATCAAATGGAGTCAGATGGAATCATCATCGAATGGAATCAAATAGAATCATCAAATGAAATCGAATGGAATCATCATCGAATGGACTCAAATGTAATAATCATCCAATGGAATCCAATGGAATCAACATCAAATGGAATCGAATGGAAACACCATCGAATTGAGTCGAATGGAATCATGATGGAATTGAAACGAATGGACTCATCATTGAATGGATTCGAATGGAATCATCAAATGGAATTGATTGGAATCATCATTGAATGGAATCGAAAGGAATCATTGAATGGAATCGAATGGAATCATCATCGAATGGAAATGAATGGAATCTTCATAGAATGGAATTGAATGGATTCATCGAATGGAATCAGATGGAATCATCATCGAATGGAATCGAATAGAACCATCGAATGTAATCGAATTGAATCATCATTGAATGGACATGAATGAATTTATCATCAAATGGACTCAAATGAAATCATCATCCAAGGGAATCGAATGGAATATTCGAATGGACACGAATGCAATCATCACTGAAAGGAATCGAATGTAATCACTGAATGGCATCGAATGGAATCATCATCGAATGGAATCTAATGGAATAATCGAATGGACTCAAATTGAATCATCGTATGGAGTGGAATGGAATCATCATCGAATGGAATTGAATAGAATCGTTGAATGGACTCGAATGAAATCATCATCAAATGGAATCGAATGGAGTCATCAATTGGACTCGAATGGAATCATCATAGAATGGAATCGAAGGAATCACTGAATGGACTCCAATGGAATCATCATGTAATGGAATCGAATGGAATCATCTAATAGACTCCTAAGGAATCATCATTGAATGAAATTGAATGGAATCACCGAATGGACACGAATGGAATCATCATTGAATAGAATCGAATGGAATCACTGAATGGAGTGGAATGGAATATCATCAAATGGAATCAAAAGCAATCATGGAATGGACTCAAATGGAACTATCAAATGGAATCATTGAATGGACTCGAATGGAATCATCATCGAATGGACTCAAATGGAATGATTGAATGGTCTCGAATGAAATCATGGATTGGACTCAAATGGAATTATCAAATGGACTCGAATGTAATCATCAAATGGACTCGAAAGGTATCATTATCGAATTGAATCAATTGGAATCATGGAATGGAATCGAATGGAATCATTGAATGGAATCGATCGGAATCATCATTGAATGGAATCAAATGGAGTCATCGAATGGAATCCAATGCAGTTATCATTGAATGGACTCGAATGGAAACATCATCGAATGGAATCAAATGGAAACATCGAATGGCATCTAATGGAATCCTCATCGAATGGAATCTAACGGAATAATGGTAAGGACTCGAATGGAATTATCAAATGGAGTCAAATGGAATCATCATCAAATGTAATCTAGTGGAATCATCGAATAGCATCGAATGGAATCATCGTCGAATGCAGTTGAATGGAATCATCGAATGGACTGGAATGGAATCGTCATGCAATGTAATCGAATGGAAACTTCAAATGGACACGAATGGAATCATCATCAAATGCAATCAAATGGAATCATCATCGAATGGAATCGAATGAAATCATCATCAAATGGAATCGAATATAATCATCCAATGGAAAAGAATTGATTCATCATTGAAAGGAATTGAATAGAATCATTGAATGAAACCGAATAAAGTCACCATCGAGTGGAATCGAATGGAATCATGAACGAATGGAATAGAATGGAACCATAGAATGGAATCCAATATAATCATCATTGAATTGAACCAAATGGAATCATTAAATGGACTTGAATGGAATCATCGAATGGACTCAAATGCAATCATCATCGAAGGAATAGAATGGAATCATCGAATGCAATCGAATGGAATCATCATCCAATTTTACCAAATGGAATCATCGAAGGGACACGGATGGAATCATCATTGAATGGAATCGAATGGAATCATCGAATAGGATTGAATGGAATAATCATCGAAAGGACTCGAATGGAATCAACATCAAATGGAATTGAACGGAATTTTCGAAAGGAATGGAATAGAATAATCAAATGTACTCAAATGGAATCATCGAATGGAATGGAACGGAATAGTCAATGTGCTCGAATGGAATCATCATCGAATGGAATGAAATTGAATCATCGAAAGGACTCGAAAGAAATCATCATCAATTGGAATCAAATGGAAACATCAAATGGACTCATATGGAATCTTCATCAAATGGAATCAAATGGAATCATCGAATGAACTCGAATGGAATCATTGAATGGACTCGAATGGAATCATCAAATGGACTCGAATGGAATCATTGAATGGACTCGAATGGAATCATCGAATGGACTCGAATGGAATCATCATCGTATGGTATCGAATGGAATCATTGAATTTACTCGAATGGAATAATCATCAAATGGAATCGAATGGAATCATCATCGGATTTAAACGAATGGAATCATCATCGAATGGAATCGAATGATTCATGAAATGGAATCATTATCAAATGGAATCGAATGATTCATCAAATGGAATAAGATGGATTCATCATTGAATGGAATCGAATAGAATCGTCAAATGTAATCAAATGGAATCATCATCGAATGGACTTGAATGGAACCATCATGGAATGGACTCGAATGGAATCATCATCCAATGGAATCAAATGGAATCAACATCGAATGGAATCGAATGGAAACACCATCGAATTGAATCGAATGGAATCATCACGGAATTGAAATGAATAGACTCATCATCAAATGGATTCAAAGGGAATCATCTATTGGAATTGATTGGAATCATCATCGAATGGAATCGAATGGAATCATTGAATGGAATCAAATGAAATCATCACCAAATGGAATAGAATGGAATCATCGAATGGACCCTAATGGAATCATCAAATGGAATCAGACGGAATCATCTCATGGACTTGAATGGAGTCATCGAATGGACTCGAATGGAATCATTATTGAATGGAATTGAATGGAATCATTGAAAGGTCTCGAATGGAATCATCATCGAATGGAATTGAATGGAATCATCGAATGGAATCGAATGGAATCACCATCGAAAGGAACCAAATAGAATCAGCATCAAATAGAATCGAATGCAATCATCATCGAATGGAATTGAATGGAATTTTCATCAAATGGGATCGAATGGAATCATCATGGATTAGAATCGTATGGGATCATCGAATGAAAGAGAAAGGAATCATCATCAAAAAGACTCTAAATAAAACAAAGAATGGAATCCAATGTAATCATCGAATGGAATCAATGGAATCATTATTGAATGGATTTGAATGGAATCATCATCAAATGGAATCGAATGAAATCATGGAAAGCATTCGAATGGAATCATCGAATGGACTCCAATGGAATCAACATCGAGTAGAATTGAAAGGAAATATCGAATAGAATTGAATGGAATCATCGAATGGAATCATCATTGAATGGAATCAATTGGAATCATCGAATGGACCCGAATGGAATCATTATTGAATGGAATCAAAAGGAGTCATCGAATGGAATTGAATGGAATCATCATTGAATGGAATCAAATGGAATAATCATGGAATGGAGTAGAATGGAATCATCATCGAATGGAATCGAATGGAAACATTATCGAATGGAATCGAATGGAATCATCAACGAATGGAATCGAATGGAAACATCATCGAATGGAATCGAATGGAATCATCAATGAATGGAATCGAATGGAGTCATCGAATGGAGTCCGTTGGAATCATCATAGAATGGAACCGAATGCAGTCAACATCAAATGAAATCAAATGGAATCATTGAATGGACTCAATGGAATCATCACATGGAATCGAATGGAATCATCGAATGGACTCGAATGCAATAATCAAATGGACTCGAATGGAATCATCATCGAATGGAATCGAAAGGAATCATCGAACGGACTCGAATTGAAGTATCATTGAGTGGAATTGAATGGAATCATCGAATGCACTCGAATGCAATCACCATCGAATGGAATAGAATGGAATCATCGAATGGAATTGAGTGGAATCATCATTGAATGGAATTAAATGGAATCATCATTGAATGGAATTGAATGGAATCATCATCGAATGGAATCTAATGGAATCATCATATAATGGAAATGAATGGAATCATCAACGAATGGAATCAAATGAAGAAATAGAATGGAATCCGTTGGAATCATCATCAAATGGAACCGAATGCAGTCATCTTCGAATGGAATAGAATGGAATCATCTAATGGATTAGAATGGAATCATCATCGAATGGAATTGAATGGAATCATCGAATGGACTCGAATGGAATGACCATCAAATGGAATCGAATGGAATCATCGAATGTACACGAATGGAATCATTGTTGAATGGATTCGAATGGAATCATCAAATGACATCGAATGGAATCATCTTCGAATGGAATCTAATGAAATCATCGAATGGAATCGAATGGAATCATCGAATGGACTTGAGTGGAATCATCATCAAATGATATCGAATGGAATCATTGAATTTACTCAAATGGAATAATCATCAAATGGAATCGAATGGAATCATCATCGGATTTAAACGAATGGAATCATCATCAAATGGAATCGAATGATTCTTCGAATGGAATCATCATCGAATGGAATCGAATGATTCATCGAATGGAATAAGATGGAATCATCATTAATTGGAATCGAATAGAATCATCGAATGTAATCGGATGGAATCAACATCGAATGGACTCGAATGGAACCATCATCGAATGGACTCGAATGGAATCATCATCCAATGGAATCAAATGGAATCAACATCGAATGGAATCAAATGGAAACACCATCGAATTGAATCGAATGGAATCATCACGGAATTGAAATGAATAGACTCATTATCAAATGGATTCGAAGGGAATCATCTATTGGAATTGATTGGAATCATCATCGAATGGAATCGAATGGAATCATTGAATGGAATCGAATGAAATCATCACTGAATGGAATCGGATGGTATCATCGAATGGACCCTAATGGAATCATCATCGAATGGAATCAGATGGAATCATCAAAGGGACTTGAATGGAGTCATCAAATGGACTCGAATGGAATCATTATTGAATGGAATTGAATGGAATCATCAAAAGGTCTCGAATGGAATCATCATCGAATGGAATCAAATGGAATCATCGAATGGAATTGAATGGAATCATCATTGAAAGGAATCGAATAGAATCAGCGTCAAATAGAATCGAATGCAATTATCATCAAATGGAATCGAATGGAATTTTCATCAAATGGAATAGAATGGAATTATCATGGATTAGAATCGGATGAGATCATTGAATGAAAGAGAAAGGAATCATCATCAAAAAGAATCGAAATAAAACAGAGAATGGAATCCAATGGAATCATCGAATGGAATCAAATGGAATCATCATTGAATGGGTTCGAATGAAATCATCATCGAATGGAATCGAATGAAATCATGGAATGCACTCGAATGGAATCATGGAATGGACTCCAATGAAATCAACATCGAGTGGAATCGAAAGGAAACATTGAATGGTATTGAATGGAATCATCGAATGGAATGATCATCGAATGGAATGGACTGCAATCATTGAATGGACTCCAATGAAATCAACATCAAGTGGAATCGAAAGGAGACATCGAATGGTATTGAATGGAATCATCGAATGGAATCATCATCGAATGGAATCGACTGGAATCATCGAATGGACTCAAATGGAATCAAAAGGAATCATCGAATGGAATCAAATGGAATCATCATTGAATGGAATCGAATGGAATAATCATGGAATGGAGTCAAATGAAATCATCATCGAATGGAATCGAATGGAAACATCATCGAATGGAATCGAATGGAATCATCAACGAATGGAATCGAATGGAAACATCATCGAATGGAATCGAATGGAATCATCAATGAATGGAATCGAATGGAGTCATCAAATGGAGTCCGTTGGAATCATCATAGAATGGAACCGAATGCAGTCATCATCGAGTGAAATCAAATGGAATAATTGAATGTATTCGATGGAATCATCATCGCATGGAATCGAATGGAATCATCAAATGGACTCGAATGCAATCATCGAATGGACTCGAATGGAATCATCATCGAATGGAATCGAAAGGAATCATTGAATGGACTCGAATTGAAATATCATCGAGTGGAATCGAATGGAATCATAGAATGCACCCGAATGCAATCACCATCGAATGGAATCAAATGGAATCATCGAATGGAATCGAGTGGAATCATCATTGAATGGAATTAAATGGAATAGTCATTGAATGGAATCAAACGGAATCATCATTGAATGGAATCTAATGGAATCATCATCTAATGGAAACGAATGGAATCATTAACGAATGGAATCAAATGAAGAAATAGAATGGAATCCGTTGGAATCATCATCAAATGGAACCGATTGTAGTCATCATCGAATGGAATCGAATGGAATCATCTAGTGGATTAGAATGGAATCATCATTGAATGGAATTGAACAGAATCATCGAATGGACTCTAATGGAATGACCATCAAATGGAATCGAATGGAATCATCAAATGTACATGAATGGAATCATCGTTGAATGGATTCGAATGGAATCATCGAATGACATCGAATGGAATTATCTTCGAATGGAATCTAATGAAATCATCGAACGGAATCGAATGGAATCAATGAATGGACTTGAGTGGAATCATCATCGAATGGAATCAAATGTAATCATTGAACAGACTCGAATGGAATCATCATCAAATGGAATCGAATATAATCATAATCAAATGAAATCAAAGGGAATCATCATCTATAGGATTCGATTGGAACAATCATTGAATAGAATCAAATGGAATCACTGAATTGAATCAAATGGAAGGATCACGATATGGAATCGAAGGGAATCATCAAATGGGATCAAATGGAGTCATCGAACAGAATCGAGTGGAATCATCAAATGGATTCGAATGGAATCATCATCGAATGGAATTGAATGGAATCATCGAATGGACACGAATGCAATCATCATTGAATGGCCTCGAATGGAATCATCAAATGGAGTTGATTGTAATCATCATCGAATGGAATCAAAAGGAATCATCAAATAGCATCGAATGGAATCATCGTCGAATGGAGTCGAATGGAATCATCGAATGGACTCAAATGGAATCGTCATGGAACGTAATCGAATGGAATCTTCGAATGGACTCGAATGGAATCACCATAGAATGCAATCGAATGGAATCATCATCGAATGGAATGGAATGGAATCATCGAATGGAAGAGAATTGAATCATCATTGAATGGAATCGAATAGAACCATTGAATGAAATCGAATGGAATCATCTTCGAATGGAATCGAATGGAATCATCAATGAGTGGAATCAAATGGAAACATAGAATGGAATCCAAAGTAATTGTCATCGAATTGAACCCAATGTAATCATTAAATGGACTCGAATGGAATCATCGAATGTACATGAATGGAATCATCATCGAATGGAATAGAAAGGAATCATTGAATGCAATCTAAGGGAATCATCACCGAATGAATTCAAATGGAATCATCGAATAGACTCGAATGGAATCATCATTGAATGGAATCGAATGGAATCATTGAATGGAATTGGATGGAATCATTGAAACGAATTGAAAGGAATCATCATCGAATGGTATCAAATGGAATCACCATGGAATGGAACCAAATGGAATCATCATCGAATCGTATCGAATGGAATAATCATCTTATGGAATCGAATGGAATCATCATCAAAAGAAATCGAATTTAATCATCGAATGGAATCAAGTGGAATCATCATCAAATGTAATCAAAAGGAATCATCATCGAATGGAATCGAATGGAATCATCATCTAATGTAATCGAAAGGAATCATCATCGATTGGAATAAAATTGAATCATCATCGAATGGAATCAAAAGGAATCATCACTGAATGGAATCAAATGGAATCATCACCGAATGGAATCAAAAGGAATCATCATCGAATTGAATTGAATGGAATCATAATCGAATGGAATCGATTGGAATCATGGAATGTACCCGAATGTAATCATAATTGAATGGAATCGATTGGAATCATGGAATGTACCCGACTGTAATCATCATCGAATGGAATGGAATTTTATCATTGAATGGACTCGAGTGGATTCATCATTGAGTGGAATGGAACGGAATCATCATCGAATGGACCCGAGTGGAATAATCATCGCATGGAATTGAATGGAATCATCATCAAAAGGATTTGAATTAAATCTTCGAATGGAATCAAATGGAAACATTATGGAATGGAATCGAAAGGAATCATCATCGAATGGAATTGAATGGAATCATCATCGAATGGAAGCAAAAGGAATAGTCATCGAATGGAATTGAATGGAATCATCATTGAATGGAATCGATTGGAATCATGGAATGTACCCGAATGGAATCATCATTGAATGGAATCAAATGGAATCATCGAATGGACTCAAATGGAGTCATCATTGAGTGGAATCGAAATGAATCATCAAGTGGAATCAAAGGGAATGATCATTGAATGAAATAGAATGGAATCCCCATCTAATGGCATCGAATGGAATAATCATCAAATGGAATCGAATGCAATCATTGAATGAACTCAAATGGAATCATCATCGAATGGACTCAGATGGAATCATCATCGAATGGAATCGAATGGAATCATCATCACATGGAATTGAATGGAATCATCAGCAAGTGGAATTGAATGGAATCATCTAATGGAATTGAATGGAATCATCGAATGGCCTCGAATGGAATAATCATTGAATGGAATCGAATGGAATCATCATCAAATGGAATCGAATGGCATCGTCATCTAATGGAATGGAAGGGAATCATCATCAAATGGAATTGAACAGAATCGTCATTGAATCGAATCATCATCAAATGGAATCGAATGGAATCATCATCAAATGGAATCGAATGGAATAATCATCAAATGGAATTGCAGGGTATCTTCACCGAATGGAATTGAATGGCATCATCATCTAATGGAATCGAATGGAATCATGGAAAGGACTAGAATGGAATCATCATTCAATGGAATCGAAGGGAATCATTGAAAAGAGTCGAATGGAATCATCATCGAATGGAATCAAATGGAATCATCATCGAATGGAATCAAATGGAATCAACAAATTGACTCGAATGGAATCAACGTCGAATGGAATCAAATGCAATCATCATATGGACTCGAATGGAATCATCATTGAATGGAATAGAATGGAATCATTGAATGGACTCGAATGGAATCATCATCAAATGGACTCTAATGGAATCATCATGGAATGGACTCGAATGGAATCATCATGGAATGGACTCGAATGGAATCATCATTGAATGGAATCAAACGGAATCATCATCAAATCCAATTGAATGGAATCATCATCTAATGGAATCAAAATAACTGATCATCAAATGGAATCAAATGGAATAATCATCGAATGGAATGGAATGGAATCATCCAGTGGAATTGAATGGAATGAACATCGAAAGGAAGAAAAAAAATCCTCGAAAGTAATTGAATAGAAACATCATCGAATGGAATCCTCATTGAATGGAAACTAATAGAATCATCATCAAATGGAAACGAATGGAATCATCATGGAATGGGATCTAAAGGAATCATCATCAAAAGGAATTGAATGGAGTAATCATCTAATGGAATTGAATGGAATCATAGAATGGACTCGAATGTAATCATCATCTAATGGAATAGAATGGAATCATAGAATGGACTCGAATGTAATCGTCATCTAATGGAATAGAATGGAATAAGCGAATGGACTCGAATGGAATCATCATCGAATGGAATCGAATGAAATCATCAAATGAAATCATCGAATGGAATCATCAAATGGAATCGAATGGAATTATCGAATGGAATCGAATGAAATCATCGAATGGAATTGAATGAAATCATCAAATGGAATCGAATGGAATAAGCATCGAATGGAATCGAATTGAATCACCATCGAACGGAATTGAATAGAATCATCACCGAATGGAATCAAATGGAATAACCATCGAATGGAATCGAATTGAATCACCATCGAACGGAATCGAATAGAATCATCACGAATGGAATCGAATGGAATCATGGAATGAACTCGAATGGAATCATCCTCGAATGGACTCGAATGGAATCAACACCGAATGGAATCGAATGAATTCATTGAATAGACTCAAATTGAATTATCATTGAATGGAATAGAAGGGAATCATCGAATGGAATTGAATTGAATCATCAAATGGAATCGAATGGAATCATCAAATGGACTCCAATGGAATCCTCATCGAATGGAATCAAATGGATTCATACAATGGTATGGAATGCAAATATCATCAAATGAAATCAAATGGAATCATCATCGAATGCAGTGCAATGGAATTGTCAATGAATGGAATCAAATGGAATTATCGAATGGGATTGAATGGAATTATCATCGAATGGAATTGAAGGGAATCATCAAAACGAATCGAATTGACTCATCAAATGGAATCGAATGGAATCATCAAATGGACTCGAATGGAATCATCATCGAATGAAATCTAATGGACACTTCCATTGGGCTCGAATGGAATTATCATAGAATGGAATCGAATGGAATCATTGAATGGACTCGAATAGAAACATCATTGAATGAAATCGAATTTATTCATTGAAAGGAATCAAATGGAATCATTATCTAATGGAATCATCTAAAGGACTGGAATGGAATCATCTTCGAATGGAATCGAATGGAATCATTGAATGGATTTGAATAGAAGCATCATTGAATGGAATCGAACAGAATCATTGAATAAAATCGAATGGAATCTTCATCGAATGGAATCGAATGGAATAATCATGGAATGGAATCAAAAGGAATCATCCTCGAATGGACTCGAATGAAATCATCGAATGGACTCGAATGGAATCATCGAATGGAATTGAATGGAATCCTCCAGTGGCCCCGAATGGAATCATCATCGAATGGAATCGAATGGAATCATTGAACAGACTCGAATGGAATCATGATAGAAAGGAATCGAACGGAATCATTTAACGGACTCGAATGGAATCATGATAGAAAGGAATCAAATGGAATCATCTAGTGGAATCGAATGGAATCATCATCGAATGAAAACGAATGGAATCATTGAATGACATCGAATGGAATCATCATCAAATGGAATCGAATGGAATCGTTGAACAGACTCGAACGTAATCATCAGCGAATGGAATTGAATGGAATCATTGTATGGGCTCAAATGGAATCATCATCAAAAGAATCGAATGGAATCATCATCGAATGGAATCCAATAGAATCATCAAATGGAATCAAATAGGATCATCAAATCAAATCGAATGGAATCATCTTCGAATGGAATTGAATGGAATCATCATCGAATGGAATCATCATCGAATGGAATTTAATGGAATCATCATTGAATGGTATCGAATGGAATCATCAACGAATGGAATCAAATGGAATCATCGAATGGAATCAAATGGAATCATCATCAAATGGAACAGAATGGAATCATCATCAAATGGAACCTAATGGAGTCATCGTCAAATGGAATTGAAAGGAATCATCATCGAATGGAATCAACATAGAATGTACACGAATGGAATCATCATCGAATGGAATCGAATGGAATAATCAAATAGAAACATCATCGAATGAAATTGAATGGGATCATCGAAAGGAATCGAATGGAATCCTTATCGAATAGTATCATCGAATGGAATGGAATGGAATCATCATCGAAGGTAATCGAATGGAATCATCTAATGAAATCGAATGGAATCATCATTGAATGGCATCGAATTGAATCATTGAATGAAATCAAAAGGAATCATCATCGAATGGAATCGAATAGAATCATCAAATGGAATGGAATGGAGTCATCATCAAATGGTATCAATGGAATCATAGAATGGTTTTGAATGGAATCATCATCAAATGGAATCAAATGCAATCACCATCGAATGGAATTAAAGGCAATCATCAAATGGATTTGAATAGAATCATTGAATGGACACGAATGGAATCATCACTGAATGGAATCTGATCAAATCAACATATGGAATCGAATGGAATCATAATCAAAATGAATCAAATGGAATCATCTAATGGACTGGAATGAAAACCTCATCAAAAGGAATCAAATGGAATCATCGAATGGACTCGAATGGAATCATCATTGAATAGAATCGAATGGAATCATCCTCAAATGGACTTGAATGGAAGCATTAAATGAACACGAATGGAATCATTGAATGGAAACTTATGCAATCATTATCAATGGAATCGAAGGGAATAATCAACAAACGGAATGGAATAGAATGATCGAATGGAATCAAATGGAATTATCATCAAATGGAATCGAATGGAATCATCATCGAATGGAATCATCATTGAATGTAATCAAATGAAATCATCATCGAATGGAATCGAATGGAATCATCAAAGAATGGAATCGAATGGAATCATCGAATAGAATGGAATGAAATCATCATCCAATGGAACCGAATGGAATCATCATCAAATGAAACCTAATGGAATCATCATCAAATGGAAATGCATGGAATCATCATCGAATGGAATCGATTGGAATCATCATCAAATAGATTCGAATGGAATCATCATTTAATGGACTCGACTTGAATTATCAAATGGACACGAATGGAATCATTGAATGGACTCTCATGCAATCATCATCAATGGAATCGAATGGAAAAATCATCAAATGGAAAGGAAAGGAATCATCATCGAAGGGAATCAAATGGAATCATCAACAAATGGAATCGAATAGAATCATCAAATGAAATTGAATGGAATTATCATCGAAGGGAATTGAATGGAATCATCTTCGAATGGAATCATCATCGAATGGAATCAAATGAAATCATCATCGAATGGAATCGAATGGAATCCTCGACGAATTGAATCGAATGGAATCATCAAATGGAAACTAATGGAATCATCATCCAATGGAACCGAAAGGAATCATCATCAAGTGAAACCTAATTGAATCACCATCGAATGGAATTGCATGGAATCATCATCGAATGGACTCAAATGGAATCATCATCGAATGGAATCCAATGGAATCATCAACGATTGGAATTGAATGGAATCATCAAATGGAATTGAATTGAATGACCATCTTATGGAGTCGAAGGGAAACATCGAATGGAATCGAATGGAATCATTGAATGGAATCGAATTGAATCATAGAATGGACTCGAATGGAATCATCATCGAATGGAATCGAATGGAAACTTCAAATGGAATCGAATGGAATCATCATCGAATGGAATCGGATGGAGTCATCGAATGGACTCGAATAGAAACATCATCGAATGAAATCGAATGGAATCATCGAAAGGAATTGAATGGAATCCTCATTGAATGGTATCATCGAATGGAATGGAATGGAATCATCATCGAATGGAAACGAATGGAATCATAGAATGGTATCGAATGGAATCATAATCAAGTGGAATAGAATGGAATCGTCATCGAATGGAATTGAAAGCAAACATCGAATGGATTTGAACAGAATAATCGAATGGACACGAATGGAATCACCATCCAATGGAATAGAATGGAATCAACAAATGGAATCGAATGGAATCATCATCCAATGGAAACGAATCAAATCATCTAATGGACAGGAATGGAATCCTCATCAAATGGAATTGAATGGAATCATCATTGAATGGACTTGAATGGAATCATTGAATGGACTTGAATGGAATCATTGAATGGACTAGAATGCAAACATCATCAATGGAATTGAATGAAATCAAACTCAAATGGATTCCAAAGGAATCATCTTCGAATGGAATCAAATGGAATCATCGAATGCAATGGAATGGAATCATCATTGAAAGTAATCGAAGTGAATCATTGAATGGAATCGAATTGAGTCATCGAATTGAATCGAATGGAATCATCACCGAATGGACTCGAATGGAATCATCATGGGATGGGATCGAATGGAATAATTGAACGGACCTGAATGGAGTCATCAAATGGAATCAAATGGAATCATCATTGAATGAATTGAATGGAAACATCGATTGGAATTGAAAGGAATGATCATTGAATGGAATCCAATGGAATCATCGAGTGGAATCGAATGGAATTATCATCAAACGAAATCGAATGAAATCATCGAATGGCATTGGATGGAATCATCATTGAATGGAATCCAATGGAATCATTGAATGGACTAGAATGAAATCATCATCGAATGGAATCGAATGGAATCATTGAATGGACTCGAACTGAATCATCATTGAATGGAATCGATTGGAGTCATCATCGAATGGAATCAAATGGGATAATCATTGAATGGAATAGAATGGAATCATCTAATGGAATAGAAAGGAATCATCATCGAATGGAATCAAATAGAGTTATAGAATGAAATTGAATTGAACCATCATTGAATGTAATAGAATGGAATCGTCACCAAATGGAATTGAATGGAATCATCAACTAATGGAATTGAATGGAATCATCGAATGGAATCTAAAGGAATTATCATCGAATGGAACCGAATGGAATCATCATCAAATGGAATCGAATAGAGTTAAAGAAAGAAATCAAATGGAATCGTCATCAAATGGAATCAAATGAAACCATCATCAAATGTAATCGAATGGAATCATCATCGAATGGAATTGAATGGAATCATGGAATGGAATCTAATGGAATCTTCATCGTATGGAAGTGAGTGGAATCATCATCAAGTGGAACCAAATGGAGTCATCATCGAATGGAATCGAATGGAATCATCATTGAATGGAATCGAATGGAATCATCAACGAATGGAATGGAATGGAATCATCAAATGGAATCTAATGGTATCATCATCGTATGGAACCGAATGGAATCATCATCAAATGGCACCTAATGGAGTCATCATCAAATGGAATGGAATGGAATCAGCATCGAATGGAATCGAATGGAATCATCATCGAATGGTTGTGAATGGAATCAACATCGAATGCAATCAAATGGAATCATCGAATGGTATCGAATGGAATGATCATCGAATGGAATCGATGGGAATCATCGAATGGAATCGAGCGGTATGTTCGAATGGATTTGAATGGAATCATCGAATGGACACGAATGGAATCATCATCGAATGGAACCAAAAGGAATCATCGAAAGGAATCGAAAGGAGTCAACATCGAATGAAGGCGAATTGAATCATTGAATGGCATCAAATGGAATCATCATCGAATGGAATCGAATGGAATCATCATAGAATGGAAACGAAAGTAACCATCAAATGGCTTCAAACAGAATCATCGAATGGACACGAATGGAATCATTACCCAATGGAATGGAATGGAATCAACGAATGGAATCAAATGGAATCATCATCGAATTGAATCGATTGGAATCATCTAATGGAATGGAATGGAATCCTCATTGAATGGAATTGAATGCAATAATCGATTGGAAACGAATGGAATCCTCGTCGAATGGAAGGGAATGGAATCATCAAACGGAGTTGAATTTAATGATCATCGAATGTAATCAAATGGAGTCATTGTGGAATGGACTCGAAAGGAATCATCGAATGGACACCAATGGAATCATCAAATGGATTTGAATGCAATCATTATCAATGGAATCAAATGCAATGAAAATCATATAGAATCAAAAGGAATCATCATCGAAAGGAATCGAATGGAATCAGCATCAAATGGAAGCGAATTGAATCATTGAATGTAATCAAATGGAATCATCATTGAACGGAAGCAAATAGAATCATCGAGTGGAATAGAATGGAATCCTCATCTAATGGAATTGAATGGAATCATCGAATGGAATCGATTGGAATCATCATCAAAAGTATTCGAAGTGAATCACTGAATGGAATCGATTTGAATCATCAAATAGAATTGAATGGAATCATCATCAAATGGACTCGAATTGAATCATAATGGGATGGAAATGAATGGAATCATCGAATAGACTCAAATGGAATCCTCGATTGGACTTGAATGGAATCATCATCGAATGGATTCGAATGGAATCATCATCGAATGGAATCAAATGGAATCATCAAAGAATGGATGTGAATGCAATCATCATTGAATGAAATCAAATGAAATCATCGAATGGCATCGAATGGACGCATCATCGAATGGAAGAGAATGGAATCTTCAAATGGACACAAATGGAATAATCATCGAATGGAATTAAATGGAATCATTGAATGGACTCAAGTGGAATCATCATTGAATGGAATCGAATGGAAACATCATTGAATTGAATGAATGGAATCATCATCGAATTGAATCGAATGGAATCATTGAATGGAATCTAATGGAATCATCATAGTATGGAACCGAATGGAATCATCATCAAATGGAACCAAAAGGAGTCATCATCAAATGGAAATGAATGGAATCATCATCAAAAGGATTCGAATGGAATCATCATCGAATGGTTGTGAATGAAATCAGCATCGAATGCAATCGAATGGAATCATCGAACGGAATCGAATGGAATGATCATTGAATGGAATCGAAGGGAATCATTGAATGGAATGAAACGGTATGATCGAATGGAATCGTATGGAATCATCGAAAGGACATGAATGGAATCTTCACCGAATGGAATCAAATGGAATCATCAAATGGAATCAACATCGAATGGAAGTGAAAGGAATCATTGAATGGACTCGAATGGAATCATCATCAAATGGAATTGAATGGAATCATCATCGAATGGAATGAAGGGAATCATCATTGAATGGAATCGAATGGAATCATCATTGAATGGAATCGAATGGAATCATCGAATGGAATAGAATGGAATCATCATCAAATGGTATCGAAGAGAATCATCAAATGAAATCGAATGGAATCATTGAATGGACTTGAATGGAATCATCATCGAATGGAATCAAATGGAATCATCGAATGAACTCCAATTGAATCACCCTCAATTGAAATCATACGGAATTTTCGAATGGAATCGAATGGAATCATCATCGAATAGAGTTGAATGGAATCATCGAGTGAACTCGAATGGAATCATCATTAAATGGAATCGAATGGAATCATCGAATGGACTCGAATGGAATCATCATCAAATGGAATCAAATTTAATCATTGAATGGACTCGAATGGAATCATCATCAAATGGAATCGAATGGAATCCTCAAATGGACACGAAAGGAATCGTCATTGAACGGAATCGAATGCAATCATCGAATGGAATCGAATGGAATCATCATCGAATGGAATTGAAGGGAATCATCATAGAATGGAATTGAATGGAATCATCAATGAATGGAATGGAATGGAATCATCATCAAATGAAATCGAATGGAATCATGGAATGGCATCGAATGGAATGATCATCCAATGGAATCAAATGGAATCATCGAATGGACCCAAATGGAATCATCATCGAATGGAATCGAATGGAATCATTTAATGGACTCGAATGGAATCATCATCGAGTTGGATCGAATGAAATCATCATCGAGTTGAATCGAATGGAATTGTAGAATGGACTCGAATGGAATCATCATTGAATAGAATCGATTAGAATCATCGAATGGATTCGAGTGGAATCATCAAATGAAGTCTAATGGAATCATCGAATTTACTCGAAAGGAATCTTCATCGAACTGAATTGAATGGAATCATCATCGAATGGAATCGAATGGAAACACAATCGAATGAAATAGAATGGAATCATTGAATAACATAGGATGGAATCATCATAAAATGGAATCAAATGAAATCGTCATTGAATGGAATAGAATGGAATCATCATCGAATGGAATTGAAGAGCATTATCCAATGAAATTGAATTGAATCATCATTGAATGGAATCGAATGGAATCATCATTGATTGGAATCGAATGGAACAATCCATGAACGGAATCGAATGGAATCATCGAATGGAATCTATTGGAATCATCAGCGAATTGAACTGAATGGAATAATCATCAAATGGAACCTAAAGGAGTCATCATCGAATGGAATCGAATGGAATCATCAATGAATGGAATCCAATGGAATCATCATCAAATGGAATCAAATGGAATCATCATCGAATGGAATCGAATGGAATCATCGAATGGAATCGAATGGAATGATCATCAAATGGAATCTAAGGGAATCATCAAATGGATTCGAATGGTATCATTGAATGGAATTGAATGAAATCATCGAATGGATACAAATGGAATCATAATCAAATGGAAAGGAATGGAATCACCAAATGGACTCTCATAGAAACGTCATCAAATGGAATCATCGAATGGAATTGAATGGAATCATCATTAAATGGAATAGAGTGGAGTCGTCAAATGAAATCAAAAGGAATCATCATCGAGTGGAATCTAATGGAATCATCATCGAATGGAATCAAATAGAATCATCCAATGGAATTGAATGGAATCATCATCAAATGGAATCGAATGGAATCATCGAATGGAATCAAATGGAATCATCATATGGACTTGAATGGAATCATCATCGGATCGAATCAAACGGATGATTCCATCGAATGGAATCGAATGGAATCAACATTGGATGGAATCGAATGGAATCACTGAATGAACTTGAATGGAATCATTGTGTGGATTCAAATGGAATGATCGTATGGGATCATGTGGAATCATCAAATGGTCTCAAATGGTATCATCATTGAATGGAATCAAATGGAATCATCAAATGGAATTGAATGGAATCATCATCGAATGGATTCGAATGGAATCATTGAATGGACTCGAATGGAATCATTTTCGAATGGAATCTAATGGAAACATCGAATGACTTGAAAGGAATCATAATCGAGTGGAATCGAATGGAATCATTGAATGCAATCGAACAGAATCATCATCGAATAAAATCGAATGTAATCATCGAATGGCATCGGATGGAATCATCATCGAATGGAATTGAATGAATTCATTGAATGGACCCTAATGGAATCATCATCGAATTGAATCAAATGGAATCATGAAATGGACTCGAATGGAATCATCATTCAATGGAATGGAATGGAAACATCATCGAATGGAATCGAATGGAATCATCATTGAATGGTATCGAATGGAATCATCGAATGCAATAGAAAGGCATCTCAGTGAATGGAATCAAATAGACTTACAGAATGAAATCCAATTGAATCATCATCAAATGGAATCGAATGGAATCATCACCAAATGGAATCCAATGGAATCATCATCGAATGGAACACAATGGAATCATCATATGGAATCTAATGGAGTCATCGTCATATGGAATTGAATGAAATCATGATCGAATGGAATTGAATGGAATCATAATCGAATGTAATCCAATGGAATCACCATTGAATGGAATCGACTGGAATCATCGAATGGAATCGAATGGAATAATCATTGAATGGAATCAACGGGAATCATCAACTGTAATCTAATGGCATCATCAAATGGAACTGAATGGAATCATCGAATGGACTCGAATGGAATGATCATCGAATGGAATCGGATGGAATGATCTAATGGACTAGAATGGAATCATCATTGAATCGAATCGAATGGAATTATCAAATGGACTCGAAAGGAATTACCATGGAATGGAATCGAATGGAAACATTATCAAATGGAAACGAATAGAATCATCAAATGAAATCGAATGGAATCATCATCAAATGGAATCCAATGGAATCAACATCGAATGGACTCAAATGGAATCATCATCGAATGGAATCAAAAAGAATCATCATCAAATGGATTCGAATGGAATCATCAATGAATGGAATGGAATGGAATTATTGAATGGAATCTAACGGAATCATCATTGAATGGAACTGAATGGAATCATCCTCTAATGGAAACTAACGGTGTCATCAACAAATGGATTCGAATAGAATCATCATCGAATGGCATCATATGGAATCAGCATCAAATGGAATCGAATGGAATCATTATCGAATGGAATGAAATGGAATCATCGAATGGAAACGAATGGAATCATTGAATGGAATAGAATGGAATCATCGAATGGACTCCAATGGAATCATCATCGAATTGAATCAAATAGAATCATCGTTGAATGGACTCGAATCAAATCATTGAATGGACTCAAATGCAATCGTCCTCAATTGAATTGAATGGAATCATCATCAAATTGAATCAAAAGGAATCATCATCAAAAGGAAACGAATGCAATCATCATCAAATGGAATCAAAAGGAAGCATCATCAAACGGAATCAAATGGAATCATCATTGAATAAAATTGAAAGGAATCATCGAATGGAATCATCATCAAAAGGAATCGAAGTGAGTCATCGAATGGAATCAAACTGAATCATCAAATGGTATCGAATGGAATCATCATCGAATGGAGTGGAAGGGAATCAACATCAAATGGAATAGAATAGAATCATTGAATGAACTCAAATGGAATCATCATCGAATGGACTCGAATGGAATCATCATCTAATGGACTCAAATGGAATGATCGAATGGACTCGAATGGAATTATTGATTGGACCCAAATGGAATTATTTAATGGGCTCAACTAGAAATATCGAATGGACTTGAATGGATTCATTATCAAATGGAATTAAATGGAATCATCAAAAGGAATCAAACAGAATCATCAAATGGAATCGGTCAGAATCATCATCGAATGGAATCAAATGGAATCATCGAACAGAAACTAATGCAGTCATCATCAAATGGAATCGAATGGAATCATCATCAAATAGAATCGAATGGAATCATCAAAAGGATTTGAATGGAATCATCGTCGAATGTAATCGAATGGAATCATCGAATGGAATCATCGAATGGAATTGAAAGAATCAGCATCGAACAAAATCGAATGGAATCACCATAGAATAGAATCGAATGGAATCATTGAATGGATTCATCATCAAAGGGAGTCCAATGGAATCATCAAATGGACTCGAATGGAATCATCGAATGGACTCGAATGGAATCATTGAATGGAGTTGAATGAAATCATTATTGAATGGAATCAAATGAAATCATCATCAAATGGAATTGAATGGAATCAACACTGAATGGAATCAAATGGGATCATTGAATGGAATCAGATAGAATCATAATCGAATGAAATCAAATAGAAGCATCGAATGAAATCGACTGGAATCATCATCGAATGCAGTCGAATGGAATCATCATGAATGGAACCTAATGGAATAATCAACGGATTGAATCAAATGGAATCATCAAATGGAATCCAAAGGAATCATTATCAAACGGAAATGAATGGAATCATTAAACGGACTTGACTGGAATCATCAACGAATGGAATCAAATGGAATCATCATCAAATGGAAACGAGTGGAATCATCCAATGGACTAAAATGGTATCATCATTGAATGGAATCGAATGGAACCATCACTGAATGGAATCAAATGGAACCATCGAATGGAATCTGATGGAATCATCATTGAATGGAATCGAATAGAAGCATTGAATGAAATCGAATTGAATCATCATCAAACAGATTCAAATGGAATCATCATCGAATGGACTCGAATGGAATCATCATCGAATGGAATCTAATGGAATCATCATCGAATGGAACCGAATGGAAACATCATTGAATTGAATCAAATGGAATCATCATGGAATTGAATCGAATGGCTCATCATCAGATGGAATCAAATGGAATCATCGAATGGAATCGAATGGAATCATCATCGAGTGGAATCAAAAGGAATCATCAAATGGAATTGAATGGAATCATCATTGAATGGAATCGAATGGAAACATCAAATGAAATCGAATGGAATCATCATCGAATAGAGTCAAATGAAATCATCCTTGAATGGAATCTAATGGAAAAATGAAAGAAGGGAATCGAATGGAATCATCATTGAATGGACACGAATGGAATCATCATCGAATGGACACGAATGGTGTCATCAAATGGACTCAAGTGGAATCATCAAAAGGACTAGAATGGAATCATCGAATGGAAACGAATGGAATCATCATCAAATGGAATGTTATGGAATCATCGAATTGCTTCTAATGGAATCCTCATCAAATGGAATCATCGAATGGTGTCAAATGGAATAGTCATCAAATGAAATCGAATGGAACCATCGAATGGCATCAAATGGAATCATTATCAAATGGAATCAAATGGAATCATCTAACGGACTCATATGAAATCATCATCGAATGGAATCAAGTGGAATCATAGAATGGACACCAGTGGAATCATCATTGAATGGAATCAAATGGAATCAACATCAAAAGGAATCGAATAGAATCATCACAGAATGGAATCGAACGGAATCATCGAATGGAATAGAAGGGAATCATCATTGAATGGAATCAAACAGAATCATCGAATGGAATCGAATGGAATCATCATCAAATGGAATCTAATGGAATCATCATCAAATGGAATCAAATGGAATCATCAACAAATGGAATCACATGGAATCATTGAATGGAAACTAATGGAATCATCATCACAAGGAACCGAATGGAATCGAATGGAATCATCATCCAATGGAATCGAATGGTATCACCGATTTGAATGGAATGATCATCGAATGGAATCAAAAGGAATCATCGAATGGGAATGAAAGGACTCATAGAATGGGATTGAATGGAATAATCGAACGGAATCGAATGGAATCATCATATGGATTCGAATGGAATCATCATCGACTGCAATCGAATGGAATCATCATCGACTGGAATCGAATGGAATCATCATCAAATGTTATCGCATGGAATCATCAACGAATGGAATCGAATGGAATCATCAAATGGCATAGAATGGAATAATCATCAAATGGAATGGAAGGTAATCATTGAATGGAGACGAATGGAATCATCATTGAATGGAATCGAATGGAATTTTCAAATGGACTCGATTGGAATCATCATCGAATGCAATCAAATGGAATCATCATCGAATGAAATCAGATGAAATCATCATCAGATGGAATCGAATGGAATCATCACTGAATGGAATGGAATGGAATCATTGAACAGAATCAGATGGAATCATCATTGAATGGAATCAAACAGAAACATCGAGTGAAATCGAATGGAATCATCAACAAATGGACTTGAATGGAATCATCATTGAATGGACTCGAATGGTATCTTCATCGAATGCATTCGAATGGAGTGATCATCGAATGATCTCGAATGGAAACATCATCGAATTGAATCAAAGGGAATCATCATGAAATTGAATCGAATGGCTCATCGAATGGAATCGAATTGAATCATCATCGAATGGAATCGAATGAAATCATCGAATGGACTCGAATGCAATCACTGAATGGACTTGAGTGGAATAATCATCTAATGGGATAGAATGGAATCATCGAATGGACTCGAATGGAATTATCATTGAATGGAACAGAATGGAATCATAGAATGAACTCAAATGGAATCATCATCGAATGGACTCGAATGGAATCATTGAAAGTATTCGAAAGGAATCATCATCGAATGGAAGCCAATGGAATCATCGAATGGAATTGAATGGAATCATCATTGACTGGAATTGAATGGAATCATCGAATGGACTCGAATGGAATCATCATGGAATGGAATCAAATGGAATTATCGAATGGAATCGAATGGAATCAACTTTGAATGGAATTGAAGGGAATCATCGAAAGGAATCAAAAGCAATCATCATCGAATAGAATCGAATGGAATCATCAAATGGAATTGATTGGAATCACCATTGAATGGACTTGAATGGAATCATCATCATATGGAAACATATGGAATCATCGAATGGACACGAATGGAATCATCATCAAATGGAATCAAGTGGATCATTGAATGGAATCTAATGGAATCATTGTCAAAAGGAATGGAATGGAATCATTGAATGGAAATTAATGGAATCACCAATGAATGGAATCAAATGGAATCATCATAGAATGGAATAGAATGGAATCATGGAATGGACTCGAATGGAATCATCATCAAATGGAAACCTGTGGAACCATCGAATGAACACGAAATGAATCATAATAGAATGGAATCAAAAGGAATCATCACTGAATGCAATCACATGGAATCATCACCCAATGGAATCGTACGGAATCATCATCGAATGGAATTGAATGGAATCATCAATTGGACTCGAATGGAATCATCAAATGGAATCAGATGGAAGCATCGAATAGACTCGAATGGAAGCATCATCAAATGGAATAGTATGGAATCATCGAAAGGACTCGAATTGAATCATAAAATGGACTCGAACAGAATAGTTATAGAATGGAATAGAATAGAGTCATCAGAAAGACTCGAATGGAATCATCATTGAATGGAATCAAATGGAATCAATGAATGCACTCGAATGGAATCATTATCAAATGGAATTGAATGGAATCATCGAATGGACTCGAATGGAATCATCATCAAATGGAATACATTGGAATCATCAAATGGAATGGAATGGAATTATCAGATGGAATCGAATGGAATCATCTTTGAATGAAATCGAATGGAATCATCAAATGGAATTGATCAGAATCATCATCAAATGGAATCAAATGAAATCATCGAATGGAATCAAATGCAATCATCATCGAATGGAATCGAATGGAATTATCATCGAATAGAACAGAATGGAATCATCGAATGGAATCGAATGGAATCATCATCGAATGGAATTGAATGGAATCAAATGAAATCATCGAATGGAATCGAATGCAATCATCATCGAATGGTATCGAATGGAATTATCATTGAATAGAATAGAATGCAATCATCAAATGGAATCGAATGGAATCATCATTGAATGGAATCAAATGGAATCATCGTGTGTAATCCAATGGAATCAACATCGAATGGAATCAAATGGAATCATTATTGAATAGAATCAAATGGAATCATTGAATGGAGTCATCATCAAATGGAGTCCAATGGAATCATCGAATTGACTCGAGTGGAATCATCATTGAATGGAATCGAATAGAATCATCAAATGGAATCGAATGGAATCATCATCAAATGGAATTGAAGGATATCATTGAATGCACTCAAATGGAATAATCAACGAATGGAATCTAATGGTATCATTGAATGGAATTGACTGGAATCATCTTCGAGTGGAATCTAAAGGATTCACTAAGTGGACTCCAATGGAATAATCATCAAATGGAATCGAGTGGAATCATCGAATATACTCGAATTGTATTATCGAATGGAAACGAATGGAATCATCGAATGGATTCAAATGGAATAGTCATCAAATGGAATTAAGTGGAATGATCGAATGGACTCAAATGGAATCATCATCGAATGGATTTGAATGGAATCATCGAATACACTCGAATGGGATCATCATTGAATGGAAATGAATGGAATCATCAAATGGACACTAATGGAATCATTGTCGAATGGAATCATATGGAATCATCGAATGGACTCGAATGCAATCATCAAATAGAATCGAATGGAATCATCGAATGGAATCAAATAGAATCATCGAATGGACTCGAATGGAGTGATCAAAAGGACTCGAAAGGAATTATCGAATGGACCCTAATGGAATCATCAAATGGAAAAGAATGGAATCATCAAATGGACTCGAATGGAATTATCGAATGGACTCGAATGGAATCATCAAATGGACTCGAAAGAAATTATCGAATGGACTCAAATGGAATCATCGAATGGACTCTAATGGAATCATCAACGAATGGAAAAGAATGGAATCATCAAATGGACTCGAATGGAATCATTGGACTCGATGGAATCATCGAATGGAGTCTAATGGAATCATCATTGAATGGAATCAAATGGAATTGAATGCAATCATCTAATGGAATCTAACGGAATAATCATCGAACAGAATCAAATGGAATCATCATTGAATGGAATTGAATGGAATCTTCGAATAGACATGAATGGACCATCATCGAATGGAAAAGAATGGAATCATCAAACGGACTCGAATGTAATCATCATCGAAGGGAATCGAATGGAATCATCATCAAATGAAATTGAATGGAGTCATCGAATGTCATCGAATTGAATCATCACTGAATTGAGTTGAATGGAATCATCGAATGGACTCGAATGGAATCATCATAGAATGGAATCGAATGGAATCATTGAATAGCATCGAATGGAATCATCGTTGAATGGAGTCAAATGGAATCATCAAATGGACTCGAATGGAATCATCATAGAATGTAATCAAATGGAATCTTCGAATGGACACAAATGGAATCATCATAGAATGTAATCAAATGGAATCTTCGAATGAACTCAAATGGAATCATCATAGAATGGAATCGAATGGAATCATCGAATGGAATATAATTGAATCATCATCAAATGGAATCGAATGGAATCATCAACGAATGGAATCATAGAATGGAATCCAATTTAATCATCTTCGAATTGAAACCAATGGAATCATTAAATGGACTCGAATGGAATCATCATTGAATGGAATCGAATGGAATCATTGAATGTAATCAAATGGAATCATCGAATGGACTCAAATGAATCATCATCGAATGGAAGCGAATTGAATCATCGAATGGACTCGAATGAAATCATCATCGAATGGAATTGAAAGGAATCATCAAATGGACTTGAATGAAATCACTGAATGGACTCGAAAGGAATAATCATCGAATGGTATTGAATGGAATCGTTGAATTTACTCGAATGGAGTAATCATCAAATGAAATTTAATGGAATAATTGAATGGAATAGAATGGAATCATCATTGAATGGAATCAAATGGAATCGTCATCGAATGGAATCAAATGGAATCATCATCGAATGGAATCAAATGGAATCATTAGAGAATGGAATCAAAAGGAATCATCATGGAATAGATTAGAATGGAATCATCAAATGGAATGGAATGGAATCATCATGGAACGGAATCGAAGGGAATCATCGAATGGAATCGAACGGAATCATTGAATGGAATCGAATGGAATCATCATGGAATGGACACAAACGGAATTATCATAGAAAGGAATTGAATGGAATCATTGAATGGAATCAAAAGGAATAATCGAATGGACTCCAATGGAATCATCTAATGGAATCGAATGGAATCATTGAATGGACTCGAATGCAGTCATCATCAAATGAAATCGGATGGAATCAACGAAGGAACTCGAATGAAATCATCGAATGGACTCGAATGGAATAATCGAATTGACTCGAATGGAATTATTGAATGGACTCGAATGGAATCATCGAATGGGCTCTAGTGGAATCATAATCAAATGGAATCGAATGGAATCATCAAATGGACTCAAATGGAATCATTGGATGGACTCGAATGAAATCATCGAATGGACTCGAATGGAATCATCATTGAATGGAATCGAATGGAATCCTCGAATAGAATCAGATGGAATCATCAAATAGAATCAAACGGAATCATCATCAAACGGAATCGAATGGAATGATCGAATGGAATCAAAGGCAATCATCATCAACTGGAATCAAATGGAATCATTGAATGGAATCAAATGGAATCAATGTCAAGTGGAATTGAGTGGAATCATCGAAAGAAATCAAATGGAATCATTGTCGAATGGAATGGAATGCAATCAAAGAATGGAATTGAATAGAATCACCAATGAATTGAATTGAAAGGAATCATCATCGAATGGAATTGAAGAGAGTCATTGAATGGACTCGAATAGTATCATTATCGAGTGGAATTGTGTGGACTCATGTAATGGGCACGAATAGAATCATCATCGAATATAATCGAAAGGAATCTTCTAATGTACTCGAATGGAATCATCATTGAATGGAATAGAATGGAATCATCGAATGGAATTGAACGGAATCATCATCGTATGGAATCGAGTGGAATCATCAAATGGACTCGAATGTAATCATTGGAGAATGGAGTCAAATGGAATCATCAAATGGACTCGAATGGAATCATCATCGAATGGAATCAAATGGAATCATTGAATGGACTCGAATGGAACCATCACCGAATATAATCAAAAGTAATCATCAAATGGATTCGAATAGAATCATCGAATGGACTCGAATGGATAAATCATCAAATAGAATCAAATGGAATCATCAAATGGACTCGAATGAAATCATCATTGAACGGAATCAAATGGAATCATCGAATGGAATGGAATGGAATCATCATCGAATGGAATCAAATGGAATCACTGAATGGAATCAAATAGGATCATCGAATGGAATTGAATGGAATCATCATTGAATGGAATCGAATGTAATCACTTTATGGACTCGAATGCAATCATCATTAAATGGAATTGAAAGGAATCATCTAATTGACTTGAAAGGAATCATCTAATGGACTCGAAAGGAATCATCATTGAATAAAATCGAATGGAATCACCGAATGGAGATGAAAGGAATCATCATCGAATAGAATCAAATGGAATCATGGAATGGACTCAAAAAGAATATCGTCGAATGGAATCAAAAGCCATCATCGAATGGACTGAAATGGAATTATCGGATGGACTCGAATGGAATCACCGAATGAACTTGAATGGAATCATCATCGAATGGACTCGAATGGAATCATCATCGAATGGACTCAAATGGAATGATTGAATGGACTTGAATGGAATCATGGATTGGACTCAAATGGAATCATTATGGAATGGAATGAAATGGAATAATCAGATGGAATTGAATGGAATCATCTAATGTAATCGATTGGAATCTTCATCGAGTGGAATAAGATGGAATCATCGTATGGAATCGAATGCAGTCATCATCGAATGGACTCAAATAGTATCATCATCGAATGGAATTGAATGGAATCATCAAATAGATTTGAATGGAATCATCACCGAATGGAATCGAATGGAATCATAGAATTGAATAAAATGGGATCATCATCGAATGGAATCAAATAGAATCATTGAATGAAATCGAATGTAATCATCATCAAGTGGAATCTAAAGGAGTCATCGAATTGAATAGAATGGAATCATCGAATGGAATCGAATAGAATCATTGAAATCGAATGGAATCATCATCGAGTGGAGTCGAATGGAATCATCAATTAATGGAATCGAATGGAATCATAGAATGGAATCCAATGTAATCATCATCGAATTGAACCCAAAAAAATCATGAAATGGACGCGAATGGAATCATCGAATGGACTCGAATGGAATCATCATCAAATGGAATCGAATGGAATCATTGAATGGACTCAAATGGAATCATCATCAAATGGAATTGAAAGGAATCATCGAATGGACTTGAATGGAATCATTGAATGGACTCAAAAGGAATCATCATTGAAGGCAATCAAATAGAATCATTGAATGACATCGAATGGAATCATCATCAAATGAAAACGAATGGAATCATCGAATGGACTCGAATGGAAACACCATTGAATGGAATCGAATGGAATCATCTTTGAATGAAATCAAATGGAATCGTCAAATGGACTCGAATGCAATCATCATCGAATGGAATCGAATGCAAGCATTGAATGGATTCGAATGGAATCATCATTGAATGGAATTGAATGGAATCATCGAACGGAATTGAATGGAATCATTGAATGGCATTGAATGGTATCATCATTGAGTGGAATCATCGAATGGAACCGAATGGAATCGTCATCAAATGAAATAGAAGGGAATCATCAAATGGCATCGAAAGGAATCATCATCCAATGGAATCAAATGGAATAATGTAACGGACTTGTTTGGAGTCATCATCGAATAGAATTGAGTGGAATCATCGAATGGACATGAATGGAATCATCATCGAATGGAATCAAATGGAATCATCATCAAATGGAGTCAAATACAATCATCATAGAATGGAATCGAATGGACATGAATGGAATCATCATCGAATGGAATCAAATGGAATCATCATCAAATGGAGTCAAATACAATCATCATAGAATGGAATCGAATGGAATCATTGAATGGAATAGAATGGAATCATCATCGAATGGAATAAAATAGAATCATAGAATGAAAACAAATGGAATCATCATCAAATGGAATCGAATGGAATCATCAACAAATGGAATCGCATGGAATCATCTAATGGAATCTAATGGAATCATCATCACATGGAACCGAATGGAACCATCATGGAGTGGAATCTAATGGAATAATCATCGAATGGAATCCAATGGGATCACTGAATTGAATGGAGTGATCATCAAATGGAATCAAAGGGAATCATCAAATGGGATCGAAAGGAATCATCAAATGGAATCAAATGGAATCATCAAATGGACTCGAGTGGAATCATCATTGAATGGAATCAAATGGAATCATTGAAAGGATACGAATGGAATCATCATTGAATGGAATCCAATGGAATCATCGAATGGACTAAAATGGAAATATCACCAAATGGAACCATATGGAATCATCGAATGGCATTGAATAGAATCACCAGTGAATGGTATCTAAGGGAATAATCAAATGGACTCGAATGGAATCATCTAATGGACTCGAGTGGAATCATCATCGAATGGAATTGTATGGAATCATCGAATGGACTCAAATGGAATCATCGTCGAATGGAATCGAATGGAATCATCGAATGGACTCGAATGGAATCATCATCAAATGGAATCTAATGGAATCTGAGAATGGACTCGAATGGAATCATCAACAAATGGAATCGAATGGAATCATCGATTGGCATCGAATGGAATCATCATGGAATGGAATAGAATGGAATCATCGAACGGACTCGAATGGAGTCATGATCGAATGGAATCAAATTGAATTTTTGAATCGACTCAATTGAAATCATTGAATGCAAGTGAATGGAATCATCCTCAAATGGAATCGAATAGAATCATCATCGAATGGAATCAAATGGAATCATCATCGAATGGAATCGAATGGGATCATCATCGAATGGAATAGAATGGAATTATCCAATGGAATAGAATGGAATCATCATCGAATGGGATCAAATGGAATCATCGAATGAAATTGAATGGAATCATCATCGAATGGAATAGAATGGAATCATCATTGAATGGAATCGAATGGATTCATCATCTAATGTAATTGAATGGAATCATCATCGAATGGAATCGAATGGAATCATCATCGAATGGAATCGAATGGAATCATCCAATGTAACAGAATTGAATTTTCATCAAATGGAATCAAATATAATCATCGAATGAAATCGAATGGAATAATCATTGAATGGAATCGAACGGAATCATCAACGAAAAGAATCGAATGGAATCATAGAATGGAATCCAATGTAATCATCATCGTGTTGAACTCAATGGAATCATTAAATGGACCCGAATGGAATCATTGAATGGACTCGAATGCAATCACCATCAAATGGAATAGAATGGAATCATTCAATGGAATTAAATGGAATCATCATCGAATGAAATCAAATGGAATCCTTGAATGGACTCAAATGGAATCATCATCGAATGGAATCAAATGGAATCATTGACTGGACTCGAATGGAATCATCATCGAATGGACTTAAAAAGAATTATTGAATGGACTCGAATGGAATCTTCATCGAATGGACTCAAATGGAATGATCGAACGGACTCGAATGGAATCATGGATTGGACTCAAAAGGAATAATTGAATGGACTCGAATGGAATCATTATCGAATGGAATCAATTGGAATCATCGAATGGAATCAAATGAAATAATCGAACGTAATTGATCGCAATCATCATCGAATTGAATCAAATGTAATCATCGAATGGAATCAAATGCAGTCATCATCCAATGGAATCTAATGGAATCATCATCGAATAGAATTGAAAGGAATCATTGAATGGAATCGAGTGGAATCATCCTCAAATATAATCTAATGGAACCTTCGAATGGAATCAAATGGAATAATCAAATGGAATTGAATGGAATCAGCATCGAATGATACCAAATGGAATCATCATCGAATAGAATCAAATGGAATCATTGAATGGAATCATCATCAAATGGAGTCAAATGGAATCATCAAATGGACTCCAATGGAATCATCATAGAATGGTATTGAATGGAATCATCATGTGAAATCGAATGGATTCATCATTGAATGGGATCGAATGGTACCATGGAATGCACTCAAATGGAATCATCAATGAATGGTATCAAATGGTATCATCGAATGGTATCAACTGGAATCATCTTCAATTGAAATCAAAAGGAATCACCGAATGGACTCGAATGGAATAATCATCAAAAGGAATCAAATGGAATCATTGAATGGAATCCAAAGGAATCATCATCAAATGGAACCGAATGGAATCATCATCGAATGGAACCGAAAGGAGTCACCATCGAATAGAATTGCATGGAATCATCATCGAATGGAATCAAATGGAATCATCATCAAATGGAATCGAATGGAATCATCGAATGGAATTGAATGGAATCATCGAATGGACTCGAATGGAATCATCATTGTATGGAATTGAATGGAATCATTGAATGGAATCGAATGAATCATCATCGAATGGCATCAAATGGAATCATCATCGAATGGAATAGAAAAGAATCAACATCAAATGGAGATGAAAAGAATCATCATTGAATGGAATCCAAAGGAATCATCATCGAATGGAACCGAATGGAATCATCATCGAATGGAACCGAAAGGAGTCACCATCGAATGGAATTGCATGGAATCATCATCGAATGGAATCGAATGGAATCATCATCAAATGGAATCGAATGGAATCATCGAATGGAATTGAATGGAATCATCGAATGGAATTGAATGGAATCATCATGGAATGAATTGAATGGAATCATTGAATGGTCTCGAATGGAATCATTATCA
Source organism: Homo sapiens (assembly GCF_000001405.40). Lineage (NCBI taxonomy): Eukaryota > Metazoa > Chordata > Mammalia > Primates > Hominidae > Homo > Homo sapiens. Next base: position 79,005 of record NT_187392.1, read on the forward strand.
AATGGAATTGAATGGAATCGCTGAATAGAATCGAATGGAATAATCATCGAATGGACTCGAATGGAATTATCATCAAATGGAATAGAATGGAATTATCGAATGGAATCGAATAGAATCATCGAATGGACTCGAATGGAATCATCAAATGGAATGGAATGAAATAATCAATGAACTCGAATGGAATCATCATTGAATGGAATCGAATGGAATCATCAAGTGGAATCAAATGGTATCATGTTCAAATGGAATTGAATGGAATCATCATCGAATGGAATCGAAAAGAATCATCATCAATTGGAATTGAATGGAAACGTCGTTAAATGGAATCCAAAGGAATCATCATCGAATGCAACCGAATGGAATCATCATTGAATGGAAACGAAAAGAGTCATCATCGAATGGAATCACATGGAATCATCATTGAATGGAATCAAATGGAATCATCATCAAATGGAATCAAATGGAATCATCGAATGGAATTGAATGGAATCGTCATCGAATGAATTGAATGGAATCATCGAATGGTTTCAAATGGAATCATCTTCAAATGGAATCGAATGGAATCACCAAATAGAATCGAATGGAATTATCATGGAATGGACTCAAATGGAATCAACATCCAACGGAATCAAACGGAATTATCGAATGGAATCGAAGAGAATCATCGAATGGACTAGAATGGAATCATCGAATCGAATGGAATGGAATAATCCATGGACTCGAATGCGATCATCATTGAATGGAATCGAATGGAATCATCGAATGGACTCAAATGGAATAATCATCAAATGGAATCGAATGGAGTCATCATCGGATGGAAATGAATGGAATCATCATTGAATGGAATCAAATGGAATCATCAAATGGAATCGGATGGAATCTTCATCAAATGGAATCGAATAGACTTATGGAATGAAATCGAATGTGATCATCATCGAATGGACTCGAATGGAATCATCATCCAATGGAAAGTAATGGAATCAACATCAAATGGAATTGAATGGAAACACCATCGAATTGAAACGAATGGAATTATCATGAAATTGAAATGGATGGACTCATCATCGAATGGATTCGAATGGAATCATCGAATGGAATTGATTGGAATCATCTTCAAATGGAATCGAATGGCATCATTGAATGGAAACGAATGGAATCACCATAGAATGGAATCGAATGGATTCATTGAATGGAATCAGATGGAATCATCGAATGGACTTGGATGGAATCATCGAATGGACTCGAATGGAATCATTATTGAATGGAATTGAATGGAATCATCGAATGGTCTCGAATGGAATCATCTTCGAATGGAATCGAATTTAATCATCGAATGGAATGGAATCATCATCGAATGGAATCGAATAGAATCAGCATCAAATAGAATTGAATGGAATCATCATCAATGGAATCGAATGGAACTTTCTTCAAATGGATTTGAATGGAAACATCAACGAATAGAATCGAATGGGATCATCAAATGAAAATGAATGGAATCATCATCAAAAGGAATCAAAATAAAACAAAGAATGGAATCCAATGGAATCATCGAGTGGAATCAAATGGAATCATCATTCAATTGACTCGAATGGAGTCATCATCAAATGGAATCAAACGGAATCATTTAATGGACTCGAATGGAATCATTGAATGGACTCGAATGGAATCATTGAATGGAATCTAGTGTAATCATCATCGAATGAAATCAAATGGAATCATCGAATGGAATCGAATGGAATCATCATCGAATGGAATTGAATGAAATCATGGAATGCACTTGAATGGAATCATAGAATGGACTCAAATGGAATGAACATTGGAATCAAAACAAAACATCAAATGGAGTTGAAAGGAATAATCAAATGGAGTCATCATCAAATGGAATAGAATGGAATCATCGAATGGACCCAAAAGGAATCATCATCGAATATAATCAAATGCAATCATTGAATGGAATCCAATGGAATCATCATTGAATCTAATCGAATGGAATCATCATCAAATGGAATTGAATGGAATCATCATCAAACGGAATTGAATGGAATCATCAATGAATGGAATCGAATGGAGTCATCGAATAGAGTCCGTTAGAATCATCATCGAATAGAACGGAATGCAGTCATCATCTAATGGAATCAAATGGAATCATCGAATGGACTCGATGGAATCATCATTGCATGGAATC